>NW_003571061.2:0-195632 GCF_000001405.40 Homo sapiens
TGTCAGTTGCTTGGTGTGGTGAAGCAATGAGAGTGTTTTTTTCGGGGGAGGAGGTGTCAGATAGATCAAGAATTTATAATTAGCATAAGAAATGTACTTCTTAACAAAGCCAGCCTGGGCAACATAGTGAGATTCCCATCTCTACAAAAAAAAAAAAAAAAAAATTAGCCCAGTGTGGTGGTGCACACCTGTGGCCCCAGCTACTTGGGAGGCTGAGGCAGGAGGATTGCTTGAGCCTGGGAGGTCAAGGCTGCAGTGAGCTATGATTGTGCCACTGCACTCCAGTCTGTGTGACAGTGCAAGACCCTGTCTCAAAAAATAAAAAGAAAAAAAAAGAAACATACTAAAAAAGGACACATATTAGCAATATGAAACAAGAACAATTTTCCATAAAGCAAGAGGCTTATGGAAATAAAAAGTATAAAAATACATGATGGTAAAAAATATATAACATTATCCTCTAACAGAATAGGCAGTAGGGTGGGTGCCGTGGCTCACGCCTGTAATCCCAGCACTTTGAGAGGCTGAGGTGGGATGATCACTTGAGACCAGGAGTTCGAGACCAGTCTGGGCAACATGGTGAGACCGTGTCTCTTTAAAAAAAAAAAAAAAAAAGGCAGAATTGATACAGCTGAAGAAAAATGAACAAGTAAGAAAATGTGGTGGAGGAACTTCTCCAGGAAGCTGATATAATTATATTAAGATCAGAAAAAATAAGAGAAAAGTCATCGTACGATATAAGGGACAGGTGTTTCTCAAAATCCAAAATCTTCTCTGCTAAGAGAATCCTGATTTTGTTTTTGTTTTTGTTTCTTGAGATGCAGTCTTGCTCTGTCGCCCAGGCTAGAGTGCAGTGGTGCAATCTCAGCTCACTGCAAACTCCACCTCCCAGATTCAAGTGATTCTCCTGCCTCAGCCTCCCCAGTAGCTGGATTACAGGTGCTCGCCACCACACCCAGCTAATTTTTGAATTTTTAGTAGAGACGGGGTTTCACCATGTTGGTCAGGCTGGTCTCAAACTCCTGACCTCGTGATTCGCCCACCTCAGCCTCCCAAAGTGCTGGGATTACAGGCCTGAGCCACCGCACCCAGCCGAGAACCCTGATTTTGTTCAGGTGTCAGTTGGCCACCCTTGTTCCTTGGAGACTTGGCCCTTTTCTAGTTTCAGGCATGAATCTTGATTAGTCTAAGGCTTAGTGACGTGCTGGTTGTGAAAGTGTGGTCCCTGAACCAGCAGCGTCAGCATCACCTGGGAGCTCGTCAGAAAGGCAAATTCTTGAGCCCCACCCCAGACCTACTGAATCAGTCAGAAACTCTGAAGGTGAGCTTTTCCTTTCTCCTCCTCTCCAACCTATGGTTTGACAAGTCCTCCAGGTGATTCTGATGCACACTGAAGTTTAAACACCTTTAGCCCAGTTAGGTAAACTCACGCCCACTGCTAGTGGTTATTTAAGGAAGGGGCTGGATGCAATTGTGTTTCTTGAGATGTGAGTGGAAATCTCGTGGGAGGCTTCCTCATGTTGGAGAGGGCCGCGTTGGAAGGGCCTTTCTATGCCCTTCGTCTGCTTTTTATCTCATCCTTTCCAAAAAATTAACTTTTTATTTATTTATTTGAGACAGAGTCTTGCTCTTGTCGCCCAGGCTGGAGTGCAGTGGCGCGATCTCGGCTCACTGCAACCTCCACCTCCTGGGTTCAAGCAATTCTCCTGCCTCAGCCTCCCGAGTAGCTGGGGCTACAGGCACCTGCTACTATGCCCAGCTAATTTTTGTATTTTCCGTAGAGACAGGGCTTCACCATGTTGGCCAGGCTGGTCTCAAACTCCTGACCTCAAGTGATCTGCCCACCTCAGCCTCCCAAAGTGCTGGCATTACAGGAGCGAGCCACCTCACCTGGCTTAACTTTTTATTTTAAAATAGTTCTGGAGGCCAGGTGTGGCAGCTCACGCCTATAATCCCAGCACTTTGGGAGTCTGAGGCAGAAGGATCTCTTGAGCCCAGGTGTTCAAGACCAGCCTGGGCAACATGGCAAAATCCCATCTCTACAAAAAAGTTTTTAAAAATTAGCATTTGCCTGTGCGTCCAGCTTCTCAGGAAGCTGAGGCGGGAGGATCACTTGAGCTTAGGAGGTCAAGGCTGCAGTGAGACACCATACTGGGATTACAGGCGTGAGACACCACTCCAGGTCTGGGTTCTCTTTTTTTTTTTTTTTTTTTTTGAGACAGAGTCTCACTCTTTCGCCCAGGCTGCAATGAAGTGGCACCATCTTGGCTCACAGCAACCTCCACCCCGCAGATTCAAGCGATTCTCCTGCCTCAGCCTCCTGAGCAGCTGGGATTACAGGCGCCCGCCACCAAGCCTGGCTAATTTTTATATTTTAGAGATGCCCAGGCTGGAGTACAGTGGTGCGATCTCAGCTCAACACAACCTCCACCTCCCGGATTCAAGTGATTCTCCTGCCTCAGCCTCCCCATTAGCTGAGATTACAGGCATGCACCACCACGCCCGGCTAATTTTGTATTTTTAGTAGAGACAGGGTTTCTCTGTGTTGGTCAGGTTGGTCTCCAATTCCTGACCTCCGGTGATCTGCCTGCCTCGGCCTCCCAAAGTGCTGGGATTACGGGTGTGAGCCACTGTGCCCGGCTGATCTTACATTTTCTTGTGCACTTATTCATGAGCTTTTTTTTTTTTTATGAAAATGAATTCCTACCATCCATTCTCCTTCCAAACTGCTCATACCCAGTATTCCCAAGGTTTTTGCACATGTATATAACAGAATGTCAAAGTAGATTCATTGCAATCTCAGTTTCTGCTCAGGCCCAAAGATTATAGATGCCAGCGAGGTCAGATCTCACAGTAAGGCCATTTCTGCATGACTTCAGGAGAAAATGCTGAAAACCTAATTTCCCCACACCCTTGGCCTCTTGTCCACCTGAAGGTAAGAAAGGAGTGTTGGGGGGAAGGGGGAGGGATAGCATTAGGAGATATACCTAATGCTAAATGACGAGTTAGTGGGTGCAGCACACCAGCATGGCACATGTATACATATGTAACTAACCTGCACATTGTGCACATGTACCCTAAAACTTAAAGTATAATAATAATAAAATAAAATAAAAATAAATAAATAAATAAAAATTAAAAAAAGAAAAAAAAAAGAAAGGAGTGTTGAGATTAGAAGGTATTTTTTTTCCTATTGGGATACAGGTGGTGTTTGGTTGCATGAGTAAGTTCTTTAGTGGTGCTTTGTGAGATTGTGGTGTAGCCATCACCCAAGCAGTATACACTGCACCCCATTTATAGTCTTTTATCCCTCGCCCCCCTCTCACCTTTCCCCCCAAGTCCCCAAAGTCCATTGTATCATTCTTATGCCTTTGCATCCTCATAGTTTAGCTCCCACATATCAGTGAGAACATATGATGTTTGGTTTTCCATTCCTGAGTTACTTCACTTAGAATAATAGTCTCCAGAGATTAGAAGAGTTTTTGTTTTGTTTTGTTTCTGTGTGTTTGTTTACGTAAGCTGTTGGTGTGCTGTGAGTCCCATCCTCTGTCCACCGTAGATGTGTGATGGAGGATGACAGTCTCTTCAACTGGACAATTCAGAGTAGTTATATGGGGTGAGGGGCGGGTCCAGAGAGGAATGGGGTCTGATATGGTTTGGCTTTATGTCCCCACCCAAATCTCATCTTGAATTGTAATCCCCAGGTGTTGGGGGAGGAACCTGGTGGGAGGTGATTGAATCATGGAGGTGGCTTCTACCTTGTTGTTCTCATGATAAAGTGAGTTCTCAGGAGATCTGATGGTTTTATAAGCGTTTGGCAAGTTCCTCCTTTGCTTGCTCTTCTCTCTCTCTTGTTGCCTTGTGAAGAAGATATTTGCTTCTCCTTCCCCTTCTGCCATGACTGTAGTTTCCTGAGGCCACCCTAGCCATGTGGAATTGTAAGTCAATTAAATCTCTTTCTTTTTTTTTTGAGACTGAGCCCCCCTGTCATCCAGGCTGGTGTGCAGTGGTGCAATCTCAGCTCACTGCAACCTCCGCCTCCTGGGTTCAAGCGATTCTCCTGCCTCAGCCTACCGAGTAACTGGGACAACAGGCATGCGCCAATAGCCGGCTAATTTTGTATTTTTAGTAGAGGTGGCGTTCACCATGTTGACCAGGCTAGTCTCGAACTCCTAACCTCAAGTGATCCGCCCACCTCAGCCTCCCAAAGTGCTAAGATTACAGGTGTGAGCCACCACACACGGCCTCGGCTATTTATAGCAGTGTGAGAACGGGCTAACACAGGGTCTTTCCTCACTGGAGAGAGAGGGTGGGAGGAGAGAGAGAGGGTGGGAGGGGAGAGAGGGGAGAGGGGAGAAATGGGGGAGGGGGGGAGAGGGGGGAGAGAGAATGAATATGAGAATGAATGTACCAGGAGCTTTTATCCTTTGCAGGAGCGCCACCTGGAGGTAGGAGGTGAAGTCTGCAGAGAGAAGCTGGAAATGTACTGACGGATCCCCAAGGATTCAGTAATGTGACCAAGTGGAGGAGCTGCATTTACAGGCATCAAGGGAACTGCAGGTGAGAGGTCTGCAGCCTTGCAAGAGAGTGGGGGAAGCAGGAGAAGCTCCACGTGGGGAGATAAAGGAAAAGCTGACCACGCTTCCTCCACGTTGCAGGCAACCTGCCGAAAGGATTTTAATCACTGAGCTGACACTGTATTTTTTTCTTGTATGTGACTTTTTTAAGAAGCAGCTGGAAGTCTTTATGACCTAAGATGACTATAAAAATTATGAGAAGGCCGGGCGCAGTGGCTCACACCTGTAATCCTAGCACTTTGGGAGGCCAAGGTGGGCGGATCACTTAAGGTCAGGAGTTCGAGACCAGCCTGGCCAACATGGCGAAACCCTGTCTCTACTAAAAATACAAAAATTAGCTGGGCGTGGTAGCACATGCTTGTAATCCCAGCTGCTCGGGAGGCTGAGGCAGGAGAATCACTTGAACCTGGGAGGCAGAGGTTGCAGTGAACCATGACTGCACCATAGCACTCCAGGCTGGGCAACAGAGCAAGACTGTCTCAAAAAAAAAAAAAGTTATGAGACTTGCTTTACATGTCACCCAAGGGCACAGGTAAAGAATTAGACCTAGGAGTTGGGTTGATAGGGCAATGGGAAAAAAGAAAAAAATTGTTTACTGAATCAAGGGAATAATCACACCTACATCTTTGCAACTCACGTGCTTACAACTAGGGCAACCAAATTGTTCCGGTTCGCCCAGGATTTTCTCTGGTTTAGCCCTGAAATTTCTGTGTCCTGGGAAATTCCTCATTTCTATTTTAAAACCGAAAGTCCCACATCCTAAGACACACACACACGCCCCTGCACACACCAATCCTGGTAAAACGGTAACAGTTGGTCATACTATCTACAACAACCCTATTCGAGATCTGTGTCTTCACGATGAGGAAAGGCACATGCAGTTCTGGAGATTTTAACACGTGTTCCCAAGGTCACACAACCTGCCCTTGTATCCAGCACTGAAAGCAGATGACTCTCCTCTTTCCACGATTCTAAGCCTCTTCCCGTAGCATGTCCCATGTGGAGGAGAAAAGTTAAGAAAATGAAACTGGCCAAAACTTGCTACTGCATTTGTGATTTTAGAAAGTAAATGATCAGACATTATTAAAATTATCAATGCAAAAAGAAAGTGAGACTGAACAGATTGTTTACCTTAACAAGATCAAGTTAAACTCGTATAGGGCTTATATATAATGCCGCTTAAAAGCTCAAGTTTATGCGGGGCAGTTTTGGTGGAAGAAGCTCAGGCAGTCCCTCTGGTGGTCGTTATAGATCTGGCCGTGGAACTGGTGGATATGAAAACAGAAGGTTCTAAAAACAGCAGAAAAGGGCAACAGTTCTTAGCAGGAGAGACAGTGAGGAAAGCTGCAGGTTACTTGGAGACAGTCATCCCAAATGCATTAGAGGAGGTGTAAAAATCTGCCACAGAAGGAACAATGATCCATAGTCAGAAAAGTTACTGCAGCTTAAGCAGGAAACCCTTCTTGTTCAGGACTGTCATAGCCACAGTTTGCAAAAAGTGCAGCTATTGATTAATGTGATGTAGTGTCAATTAGAGGTACATCCCTGAGGTCTTTAAAACAAAACAAACTCAGCCAGGCACGGTGGCTCACACCTGTAATCCCAGTGCTTTGGGAAGCTGAGGCAGGCAGATCACCTGAGGCTGGGAGATTGAGACCAGCCTGGCTAACATGGTGAAACCCCGTCTCTACGAAAAATACAAAAATTAGCCCGGCATGGTGGTGGGCGCCTGTAATCCCAGCTACTCAGGAGGCTAAGGCAGGAGAATTGCTTGAACCCAGGAGGTGGAGGTTTCAGTGAGCCAAGATCGTGCCACTGCACTCCAGCCTGGGTGACAAGAGTGAAACTCCGTCTCAAAAAATAAATTAAATAAATAAATAATTAGCTGGACGTGGTGGCAGGCACCTGTAATCCCAGCTACTTGGGAGGCTGAGGCAGGAGAATCACTTGAGCCTGGGAGGTGGAGGTTGCAGTGACCAGAGATCGTGCCACTGAACGCCAGCCTGGGCAACAGAGCAAGATTCTGTCTCAAAAACAAAAACAAAAACAAAAAAAGGCTCAAGTTTATGAATGAACTGTTCATATCAGGTGATGGTCTTTCAAAATAATGACTGTTTTGTACCAACTATTGTGCTCATGTGATTGATTGAACAATGCTTCCAAAGAATTTGAAACAATAAGGCAAAGAAACCTAATGTTCATAACAGAAAAAAAAATTAAATGTATAGCACTAGAAAAATTGATTTTTTTTTTTTTGAGACAGGGTCTCACTCTGTCACCCAGGCTGGAGTGCAGTGGTGCAATGATGGCTCACTGCAGCCTCCACCTCCTGGGCTCCAGCGATCCTCCTGCCTCAGCCTCTAGAGTAGCCCGGACTACAAGCATGCACCACCATGCTCAGCTAATTTTTGTATTTTTAGTATAGACAGGGTTTTACCATTTTCCCCAGGCTGGTCTCGAACTCCTATGCTCAAGCAATCAACTTGCCTCAGCCTCCCAAAGTGCTGGGATTACAGGCATGAACCACAGAGCCTGGCATGATACTAGAAAAATTCTTTTTTTTTTTTTGACATTTAAGTTCAGGGGTACATGGGCAGGATGTGCAGGTTTGTTACACGGGTAAACGTGTGTCATGGGGGTTTGTTGTACAGATTATTTTTTTTCTAGTGTATTTACTACTTCCTGATTATCAGATTATTTTATCACCCAGTTATTAAGCCTAGTACCCACTAGTTATTTTTCCTGATCCTCTCTCTGCTACCACCCTCCACCCTCTGACAGGCCCCAGCATGTGTGAAAAATTCTTATAGTCTTCTAGAAAATACAATAGGTAGCCTTTGGAACATAGGGTATCATAAAGAGAAGCTGTAGAAAATATATTTCTTTGAATTTTTTTTTTTTTTTTTTTTTACAAATGATCACTATAATGTTTAAAATATGTTTACCACCTACAGTTGTGTGCTAGGGAAGCCATAACAAAATGCCCCCCACTGGGGGGCTTATGGGACAGAAATGGATTTTCTCACCGTTCTGCAGGCTGGAAATCCAAGATGGAGGTGCCAGTAGGGTCAGTTTCTCCCGGGGTCTCTCTGCTTTGTATGCAGATGGCCGCCTTCTTGCTGTGTCTCCACGTGGTCTTTCCTCTGGATGTACATATCCTGGTGTCCTTTTCTTTTTTTTTTTTTTGAGTTGGAGTCTTACTCTGTTGCCCAGCTGGAGTGCAATGACACGATCTCAGCTCACTGCAGCCTCTGCCTCCTGGATTCAAGCGATTCCCCTGCCTCAGCCTATCGAGTAGCTGGGATTACAGGCGTGCACCACCGCGCCCAGCTAATTTTTGTATTTTTAGTAGACATGGGGTTTGGCCATGTTGGCCAGGCTGGTCTTGAACTCCTGACCTCAGGCGATCCGCCCACCTGGGCTTCCCAAAGTGCTGAAATTACAGGCGTGAGCCACCACACGTAGCCCCTAGTGTCTTTTTTATGTCCAAATTTCCTTTTTTCACAACGGCCTCTTGTCTCTAAATACAGTCACATTCTGAGTTACTGGGAGTTAGGATTCAGCACACGAATTTTGAGGAGATGTAATTCAGCCCATAATTAAGCCCTATCCTCATCAGACTGATGATCTGTGCTTTCTCTGAACTAACAGGATTTATATATTCCTTTTTAACAGCAAGGAACTCAGGTTCTCCATGGCCCCTTTATGAAGTTGCTCCTGCTGGTACATGACCCTCAGTTAGTTTCCTGAAGTTATTTACAAAGCCACCTCCACATGTGTTGAGCCTCTTCAGTTTACTTCAAATCCTGGGCCTGTGCTGCATGGCGGTGCTTTCCACAGATTCATATGTTAGATCTTTTCTATTTTTTTTTCTGAGACAGAGTTTCCCTCTGTCGCCCAGGCTGGAGTGCAATGGTGTGATCTCGGCTCACTGCAACCTCTGCCTCCTGGGTTCAAGCAATTCTCCTGCCTCAGCCTCCTGAGTAGCAGGGACTACAGGCGTGTGCCACTATTCCCAGCTAATTTTTGTATTTTTAGTAGAGGCAGGGTTTCACCATATTGGCCAGGATGGTCTCGATCTCTTGACCCCATGATCCTCCCACTTTGACCTCCCAAAGTGTTGGGATTACAGGTGTGAGCTACCGCGCCTGGCCACATATTAAATCTTTTTTTTTTTTTTTTTTTTTGAGACAGAGTCTTGCTCTGTCACCCAGGCTGGAGTGCAATGATGGATCTCGGCTCACTGCAAGCTCCGCCTCCCAGGTTCATGCCATTTTCCTGCCTCAGCCTCCCGAGTAGCTGAGACTACAGGCACCCGCCACCACACCTGGCTAATTTTTTGTATTTATAGTAGAGATATGTTAGCCAGGATGGTCTCGATCTCCTGACCTCATGATCCACCCACCTCGGCCTCCCAAAGTGCTGGGATTACAGGCGTGAGCCACCGCGCCCGGCCTCATGTTAAATCTTGACACCCAATGTGATCTGAGAGGTTGGGCCTTTGGTGATGGCAGCAGCCACTCCAGACGGCTTGCTGCTGCCATGACGCCACCTGCCCCAGGGAGGCCCAGCCCGGGCTATACACGCTATGGAGCCGCAGGGAGCCCTGCCCCTTCCGAGTTGGGGCGGGAGCTCCCAGGGTGATGCTACAGCTGTCCAAACCCCAGCTGTGGATCCGAGCCTCCCTCAGATCGTATCACATATCAAGACTTACTCTTGTTGACAAAAAGAGTCAAACTCTATAAAATATTTGAAGAGATTTATTCTGAGCCAAATATGATAATGACCATGGCCCCTGACACAGCCCTAAGGAGGTCCTGAGACCATGTACCCAAGGTGGTCGGGGGGCAGCTTGGTTTTATACATTTTAGGGAGGCGTGAGGCATCAATCAAACACATTTGAGAAATACATTGGTTTGGTCCAGAAAGGCTGGACAATTTGAAGGAGGCAGGGCCTTCCAGGCTTTAGGTAAATTAAAACATTTTCTGGTTGACAATTGGTTGAGTTTGTCTAAAGACCTGGGATTAATAGAGAGGAAATATTCAGGTTAAGATAAAAGATTGTGGAGACCAAGGTTCTTTTGAAGTCTTATAGTGGCTGCCCTTAGAGACAATAGATGACAAATGTTTCCTACTCAGACCTTCAAAAGTTGCTAGATTCTCAGTTAACCTCCTCAGGATTGGGAGGTCCTGGAGGAAAAAGATCTAGCAATGTTAACAGAGATCCTTTACATATGCAAATATTCCCCCCCACCAAGGACAGCTTTGCAGGGCCATTTAAAAATATGGCAAAGAAACATGTTTTGGGGTAAAATATTTTTATTTTCTTCTTTGTTAGGTAATGTTATGCCAGAGTCAGATTGGAAAGTAAGTCACGATATATAGGGCTAAATAAAACCCATCTGATGAGAATTTATGGTTTGTAGGGCATGAGACCCCAGACCCCTTAGATAAGAATCTGGGCAAGATAAAAAAAAAAAATCAGAGCTGAGTCCTCACTATGGTAATTCAGTGAGTGTGACTACCAGCATAGATGTCCATAAAGGATATCCATTAGGGCCACCCATTTTAATAATGTTTGCCAGGACCCTTCAATCAAAACAAAATCCATTCTCAGAATAGCTTAGAATCAAAGGAGGACTTTTTGGGTTTTTTTGGTTCAAGAAGGATTGGGCAAGAAAACTGCAGGGAGTGAAGGAATGCTGAGCTTTGGAAGCAATTAGAACCAAGAAAACAAAAGCTGAAAGCACTGTTACTCACTCCCGCTTCCCGGATGCTCCCTGAGTCATCTTTGTGTTTCTCCATAAAGACTGGCTTCCTCCACATGGCGAGACAGATGGCCACCAAGAACTCCCAAGCTTAAAAAAGAATGACTCTCTGTGGCAAGAAAACAAAGAGACACTCCTCCCCACCTTGCTACTCCCTATGTGGCCTCCACACTGCAACCTGGGACTGTGTAGTGAGGGGAGGGGGAGCGAAGAAGTTTGCGTTAGTCTGTTTTCACACTGCTGATAAAGACATACCTGAGACTGAGTAATTTATTTTTATTTTTATTTTTATTTATTTATTTTTTTGAGACGCACTCTGTCACCCAGGCTGGAGTGCAGTGGCACGATCTCCGCTCACTGCAAGCTCCGCCTCCCGGGGTCACACCATTCTCCTGCCTCAGCCTC
This sequence comes from Homo sapiens, assembly GCF_000001405.40. Taxonomy (NCBI): domain Eukaryota; kingdom Metazoa; phylum Chordata; class Mammalia; order Primates; family Hominidae; genus Homo; species Homo sapiens. The sequence goes on from NW_003571061.2 coordinate 10,751, forward strand.
CTGAGTAGCTGGGACTACAGGCGCCCGCCACCGCGCCCGGCTAATTTTTTGTATTTTTAGTAGAGACGGGGTTTCACTGTGTTATCCAGGATGGTCTCGATCTCCTGACCTCATGATCCACCCGCCTCGGCCTCCCAGAGTGCTGGGATTACAGGCGTGAGCCACTGCGCCCAGTCAGTTTACTTTTTAAAAAAGAGGTATAACGGACTTACAGTTCCACATGGCTGGGGAGGCCTCACAATCATGGCAGAAGGTGAAAGGCACATCTTACATGGTGGCAGACGACAGAGAAATGAGAGAGCCAAGCAAAAGGGGAAACCCGTTATAAAAACCTCAGCTCTCCTGAGACTTGTTCACTACCATGAGAACGGCATGGGGGAATGTGTGGGTGGAGGATTAGCCAGGTGCTGAGGCAAGAGACTGAAGGCACAAACTGTTGCAGTATAATAAAGAAAATAGAATAAGAATAGTCATAATACAAATTAGATGTAGAGATGATCATGGACAATTATCAATCATTATTATAAACATTATTAATCATTAGCTTTTAATATTACTCTTTGCTGCATTACTAATATAACCTAGGAATAACCGGCGGGTATAGGGTCAGGTGCTGAAGGGACATGGTGAGAAGTGACCTAGAAGGCAAGAGGTGAGCCCTCTGTCACGCGTGCATCAGGGCCGCTTGAGGGGTCCTTGGTCAAGCGGTAACGCCAGTGTCTGGGAAGGCACCCGTTACTTAGCAGACGGTGAAAGGGAGTCTCCTTTCCTTGGAGGAGTCAGGGAACACTCTGCTCCACCAGCTTCTTGTGGAAGGCTGGATATTATCCAGGCCTGCCCGCAGTCATCCGGAGGCCTAAACCCCTCCCTGTGGTGCTGTGCTTCAGTGCTCACACTCCTTGTCCACTTTCATGCTCCTCCCGTACTCCTGGCTCCTCTTTGAAGTTCATAGTAGATAGCGGTAGAAGAAATAGTGAAAGTCTTAAAGTCTTTGATCTTTCTTATAAGTGCATGGAAGAAAACGCTGACGTATGCTGCCTTCTCCCTCTCTCTCTGCTTCGGCTACCTAAGAGGGAAGGGCCCCCTCTCCTGTGATCACACGACTTGCTTCACCTTGTCAATCACTTCGAAGATTCACCCTGCTTACCCTGCCCCCTTATCTTGTATGCAATAAGTATCAGCGCGCCCAGCCGTTATGGGCCACTACCGGTCTCCGCGTCTTGATGGTTGTGGTCCTCCGGGCCCAGCTGTTTTCTCTTTATCTCTTTGTCTTGTGTCTTTATTTCTTACAATCTCTTATCTCTGCACACGGGGAGAACACCTGCAAAGCCCCATAGGACCCTGCAGGAATCCACCCCCATGATTGAATTATCTCCCACTGGGTCCATCCCACAACACATGGGAATTATGGGAGCTACAACTGAAGATGAGATTTGGGTGGGGACACAGACACAAGCCATATATCAAGGTTGTTCCTTCAGATGCAGCAATCCTGGGAGCTTCTGGTTAGGACAAGATACAAGCAGAGACAGCTTCATGGGTATTGTAAACTCAATGTTTGTGTCCCGACAAAATTCAGCTGTTGGAACCTAACCCCAAGGTGATGGTATTTGTAATACGGGAGCTAAAAAGAAATTATTGAGGCAGACAGTGAGGGTAAGAGAGTCCTCAGTAAGGTTTCCTATTAATAAAGAGCAGCCCCCAAATAATTTCTTTTCTAACAGAAAGCAGCCTGAAACATCAAGCTGCAAGCATAGATAAACAAGCTAAAATCTTGCATCAGCTGTGCCAATAGAAAACGGATGCCTGGGAGCCGGGTATATTCAACATGGAGGTTCCCTCTTCCCTTTTCTTTGTCCCCACATGTGCAGTAAAAAAGCAGACAACATGGCCCCGGCCAGGCAGAGACCCTACCTACGTAATAAAAGATTAGGGTGGGATGGCCAGCTTCTTTGGGGGCTATGCAAACGTCATACCTGGTCCGACTAATCTCTCAGGCCCTATGTAAATCAGACAGCACCTCCTCAAGCTTGTCTATAAAAGCCCCATGCATTTCACCACAAAACCAGGGGTCCCACTCGGGAACCCCTCTCTTCTCTGTGCAAAAGAGAGAACTATTCTCTTTTCTCTTTCTTTTGCTTATTAAGCCTTCACTCTTTTTTTTTTTTTTTTTTTTGAGATGGAGTCTGGCTCTGTCATTCAGGCTGGAGTGCAGTGGCACGATTTCGGCTCACTTCAACCTCCGCCTCCCAGGTGCAAGCAATTCTCCTGCCTCAGCCTCCCAAGTAGCTGGGATGACAGGCACCCACCACTGCGCCCAGCTAATTTTTATATTTTTAGTAGAGATGGGGTTTCACCGTGTTGGTCAGGCTGGTTTCGAACTCCTGATCTCAGGTGATCCGCCCCCCACTCGGTCTCCCAAAGTCCTGAGATTACAGGCGTGAGCCACTGCGCCCGGCCCAGTCTCTTTCACTATGTAAGGACACAGCAAGAAGGTGCCAGCTATGAACCAGGAAAAAAGCCCTCAGCAGACACTGAATCTACCAGTGCTTTGGTCTTGGACTTCCAGCCTCCAGAACCATGAGAAATAACTATGTGTTGTCTGTAAGCTGCCAGGTCTTTGGTATGTTGATAGCAGCCTGGATGGACTAAGACACTCTCTCCTTCCCTCTCATGCCCTGGACCCTCATCAGGGCCAGAAGTGGTTGGGGTGATGGCCCAAGCAGACTTTAAAAAGCACTGGCCTAGCACAAGGGTTGGCACGCTAGAGCCCACAGCTTGTTTTTGCAAATAAAATTTTTTGTTTTTAAAACAACTTTCTGGGCTGGGCACGGTGGCTCACGCCTGTAATCCCAGCACTATGGGAAGCCGAGGCAGGCGGATGACTTGAGGTCAGGAGCTCAAGACCAGCCTGGCCAACATGGTGAAACCCCATCTCTACTAAAAATACAAAAAAATTAGCCTGGTGTGATGGCAGAAGCTTGTAATCCCAGCTACTCAGGAGGCTGAGACAGGAGAATCATTTGAACCTGCGGGGAGAGGTTGCAGCGAGCTGAGATCACGCCACTGCACTCTGGCGCCTGGGCGACAGAGCAAGACTCCATCAAAAAAAAAAAAACTTTCTATAGATACATAATATTTATGCATATTTATGACATACATGTGATAGTTTGATACATGCACAGAATGTATAATACTCAAATTAGGGTATTTAGGATATTCACCACCTCAAACATTTATCTTTTTTTTTATCTTTTCGAGACAGAGTCTCTCTCTGTCGCCCAGGCTGGAGTACAGTGGTGTGATCTTGGCTCACTGCAACCTCTGCCTCCCGAGTTCAAGCAATTCTTCTGCCTCAGCCTCCCAAGTGGCTGGGATTACAGGTGTGCGCCACCACACCCAGCTAATTTTTGTATTTTTAGTGGAGATGGGGTTTCACCTTGTTGGCCAGGCTGGTCTTGAACTCCTGACCTCAGGTGATCCACCCATCTTGGCCTCTCAAAGTGTTGGGATTACAGGAGTGAGCCACTGCACCTGGCTCATTTATCGTTTGTGTTGGGAATGTTTCAAATCTTCTCTTCTAGCTATTTTGAAATATACAATATATTGCTGTTAACTATAGTCACCCTTCTGTGCTATTGAACACTTGAACTTATTCCTTCTATCCAACTGTGTTTGTGCCCATTAACTATCCCACCCCTTCTAGCCTTTGATAACTGACTCTCTCTTTACCTTCATGAGATCTACTTTTTTAGCTCCTACATGAGTGAGAACATGAAGTTGTAAATAAAGTTTTATTCTAACACCGCCACACCTACTTGTTTACATATCAGCGATGGCTGCTTTCATGGTACAACAGCAGAGTGGGGTAGTCTCAGCAGAGATCCTACAGCCCACAAAGCTGGACGTGTTACTCTCTGGTCCTTTTGTTTTCTGCCCTCTGGTCTAGGAGTTTGCAGCTCTGGGCGTTTTTTGTTTTTTTTTTTTTTTTTTTTTGAGATGGAGTCTCACTCCATTGCCCAGGCTGGAATTCAATGGCGCCATCTCAGCTCACTGCAATCTCTGCCTCCTGGGTTCAAGCGATTCTTCTGCCTCAGTCTCCCAAGTAGCGGGGATTACAGGCGCCTGCCACCACGTCCAACTAATTTTTTATTTTTAGTAGAGATGGGATTTCACCATGTTGGTCAGGCTGGTCTTGAACTCTGACCTCAGATGATCCACCCACCTCGGCCTCCCAAAGTGCTGGGATGACAGGCGTGAGCCCGGCCGTTTTCTTTTTTGCTTGTTGTGCTTCCTGGAGATGCTCAGTAATTCTTACATTCTTTCCTGGATAGCTGGTCAATCATTATTTATTATTTCCTTGAATTGTTCTAGGAGGAAATGTGGGGTAGAAAGAGTATGGTGGGGTTCTTGGGCATGAATAATCCATAAATAAGTCAGATTTCTTTTTAAGACGAGAAACTTAATTTTATTGATATGGACGAAGAGCAAGGAAACACAGTATCTGCATCTCCAGATTTCCGATAACCTTGGCCAGCACGATCCCCCCTCCTTTAGTGGCCAGGGCTGTCTTCTTGCTACACTTTCAGTGCCGCATATTCATGAGATCCTGGGGGCTCCTGGGTGGTGTCTGAAGCTGCCTCAGACAGGGCGCTGGTGCTTAGCTCAGCATAGGTCACTCCTTGGGGGTCTGCCGTCTTTGGAGAAAATAGATGAATATTAGAACTGAGTGTTCAATATGGCAGCCACTAGCCACACATGGCTATTGACATTTAAGTTAATTACAATTAAATTTAATTTAAAACCCAGGTCCTCGGTCACACCAGATGCATTTCTTTTTCTTTTCTGTTTTTATAACCCTTTATGCCTGTGACATCAATGGATCTGCGTAAGCCTTTTTTCATTTTTTTTAAATTTTTATTTATTTATTTATTTTGGGACAGAGTCTGGCTCTGTCGCCCAGGCTGGAGTGCGGTGGCGTGATCTCGGCTCACTGCAACCTCCGCCTCCCGGGTTCAAGCCATTCTCCTGGCTCAGCCTCCTGAGTAGCTGGGATTACAGGCGCCCACTACCACGCCCAGCTAATTTTTTGTATCTTTAGTAGAGATGGGGTTTCACCATGTTAACCAGGATGGTCTCGATCTCCTGACCTCATGATCCGCCCGCCTCGGCCTCCCAAAGTGCTGGGATTACAGGCGTGAGCCACCGCGCCCGGCCCATGCATAAGCCTTTTAAATGGAGATTTTGGTTCCCATTAGGGGAGTTTCGTGACTTGTCTAAGACCACATGCGTGATAAACAGTATACATTTCTGTATGGGCTTAACCAGGAGGCACACACGACCAGCCCATTGTGGTGAGGGAGCTCTTGTGGGACTCCTAAGCGGGAGGACTCACCGAGAGAGATACCCTTTCCATATTGGATAAATCTGCCTCTGAGTGAGAAAGGAAAAAAAAAAATCAGTTCTCAGCTGCAGAAGTCAGAACTTAGTCTTTCTATCCGGTGATTCCCTTAAACTTCCCCTGTCCCTTACCGGCAGCCTCCTGCTCCGGAAGTTTGGAATGGCTGGTTCTGAAAGAGAGAGACACACGTGAAAGGATGGGATGTGAAGATTTCGGGGAGAGGGTGAGGGCAATGGAGGGGAGAGGAAGGGAGAAGAAGGGAGAGGAGGAAGGTCACAGAATGGGCTGGGGTGGGGGCTCAGGGTGCCAATCCCGGATGTGCCAATGGGTTCCCTTGAGAATGACATGGGAATAAGTGGAGCATGAGCTATGCCAAGCATCTACCTCTTGGTGGATTCCTCAGATGATGAACCTACAAAAAATGCAGGAGGAATTTACCTACCGAGAAAATCCTTCACTCCCCCTCTCTCCCTTTGCGTTCTCTGAGCTCACTGTGCTGGCTGCATCTGTAGATGATGAAGACTGAGAGGAAGAGGAGAAGGATGGAGATGCAGCTGAAGATGGCGACAAAGATGGTTCTGGTGTCTGGAGGGGGAAGAGCAGGTCAGGGAATCAGCCTGGCTCCTGAAATCCACTGATAGGGGCGAGCCGAAAAGCTAAGAGAAGCCAGACAGATGGCCTGGCTTCCAAGCCTGGATCTCCCACCTCGGAGCTGGAACTTCCTATTGCTTTGGGGAATTTCCTTAATCTTCTCCAAGCTTCTGTTTCCCCATCTGTAAAGTGAGGATAGCAGCAGTAGCTACTTTATTGGATGGTGGGTCAGTACCTATAGAAAGGGCTGGAACAGTGCTTGGCGCATAGGAAATTCCAAAAATTCCCAGGGAATGTTTGGTGCATAGCAATGATATTGATCATTTATTGTGAGCCAGCTCTGTTCCAGGTGCTCCATATATATATATACGTGTGTGTGTGTGTATATATATATATAAATGTATATATATGTGTGTGTATATATAAATGTGTATATATATATATATATATATATATATATATACATATATATATATATATACACACTTTTTTTTTTTTGAGATGGAGTCGTGTTCTGTCACCCAGGCTGGAGTGTGATCCTGGCTCACTGCAACCTCCACCTCCCTGGTTCAAACAATTCTCCTGACTCAGCCTCCTGAGTAGTTGGGATTACAGGCGTGAGCCACCACATCTGTCTGTGTAATCACTGTCTGAAATCCACTGATGGGGTGAGTAGAAAAGCTAAGAGAAGCCAGACAGATGGCCTGGCTTCCAAGCCTGGATCTCCCACCTTGGAGCTGGAACTTCCTTGGAGCTGGACATTTCGACCAATAGACTTTGAGTAAAGCAGATGACCCACTGTCATAGGGGTGGGCCTCATCCAATCAGTTGAAGACTTTAAGACTTTAAGAGAAAAGACTGAGGTCCCCCAAGGTGGAAGGAATTCTGCCTCCAGACTCAAGCTGCAATATCAAGTCTCCCCTGGATCCCCTGCCTGCCTGCCCTGCAGATTTCAGACTTGCCAGCTCCCCACAATCACGTGAACCAATCCATTAAAATCAATCTCTCTCTCCATATATGTATATACATGTATATGTTCTCTTTTTTTTTTTTGAGACAAAGTCTCACTCTTATCGTCCAGGCTGGAGTGCAATAGTGCAATCTTGGCTCACTGCAAGCTCCGCCTCCCGGGTTCAAGCAATTCTCCTGCCTTAGCCTCCTGAGTAGCTGGGATTACAGGTGCCCACCATCACGCCCGGCTAATTTTTGTATTTTTAGTAGAGACGGGGTTTCGCCATGTTGGCCACGCTGGTCTTGAACTACTGACCTCAGGCAATCTGCCTGCCTCGGCCTCCCAAAGTGCTGGGATTACAGGCGTGAGCCACCACACCCAGCTTATATCTATATGTTCTATTGGTTCTGTTTTTCTGGAAAACCCTGGCTAACACAGACATGATCTCAGCTCTTAACTTCAAACATATTTCCTTTTTCTTTTTTTAAAGGAGAGAGAGAGATGTGAAAGGACGGGATGTGAAGATTATGGGGAGAGGGTGAGGGCAATGGAGGGGAGAGGAGGGGAGAGGAGGGAGGTCACAGATGGGAGCTCAGGATGCCAATCCCAGATGTGCCAATGGGTTCCCATTGTTGCCCAGGCTAGAGTGCAGTGGTGTGATCATACTCGAATTCCTGGGCTCAAGTGGTCCTCCTCACTCGGCCTCCAGGGTAGCTGGGAGTACAGACCACCACGCCCAGCCAACTTCAAACACACTTCAATGAGCTCGTTGATGCCAGGTAATGAACAGCAGTGACACGGGCATGGAAGGCGTTTAGAGTGGGGAGGGGTGGGGCTCTCTGAAGGAGACATGATTCCCCAAGACACAGAACAAGGGATCAGCTGGGAGAATTCAGGGAGGATTCCTAATAAGAACAGGGTTAGAGCAGGGTAGAAAAGAATGACCAGTGGCCGGGCACGGTGGCTCACGCCTGTAATCCTGGCACTTTGGGAGAGTGAAGTAGGTGGATCACTTGAGGTCTGGAGTTCGAGACCAGCCTGGCCAACATGGTGAAACCCTGTCTCTACTGAAAATATAAAAAATAAGCTGGGCATGGTGGCGCACGCCTGTAGTCCCAGCTACTCAGGAGGCTGAGAGAAGAGAATTGCTTGAACCTGGGAGGCGGAGGTTGCAGTGAGCCGAGATCGCATCACTGCATCATACACTCAACTGACCAAGACTCCAACTCAAAAAAGCATCCCTCTCAGGAGATAAAATTTCTACCAATTAAAAAACAAAAACAAAACAAAACAAAAAAAACTAGTTCTTGAGCAATATTGCCATGCAAGTCTACATCATAGCGTTTTAAAGTCTTAACAACAACCCTGCAAGGTAGTACAATTATTTCCCTCCCACTGGTGAAGGGCATGCATTCCCGTGTGACTCCTGGGATTACAGCAAGGGTTGTGTCCAAAGCTCACAGCGTTGAGGAAGAGAGAGCAACCTGTTACTAAAGCTAGGCGACAGAGTCCATGCAGTTCCCCCCCGTTTTTTGTTTTTCTTGGCACTTTAGATTCAAGAAACACAAGTCGTGAGACTTTAAGGAGTAAGTAGCAGAAACGTGATTAAGGAAAAAAGTTGAGCAACTATAGAAGTGAGGCCCCAGAAAGGGGCTTCACCAAGACCCCCGCTATCTTTGTTAGTGTGCTTTGAGTCTGAGAATTTTTCCTAGGTGTGCAATGATCTGTGGTCACATTACAGAGCCAAGTCTGAGATGCTTCACACGCCTGGTCCTCTGCACCAACAGAGGGTCTCCCATCCAGACGCTTCCCCTACTTGGTTCGCTATGTTTGCATTGGCATTTCTACATATCTATATATAGAGAATTACCTATCTAATTTATCTATCTCGCTAATCTATCTACCATCTGTCTAGGTATCTATTATCTATCTACCTATCTATCTTTATCTGTCTCTGTACCTACTTACCTATCATCTATCCAATCTATCCGTCCTATCTAATTATGATTTATCTATCTACCTACTTGCCTATCACCTATCCAATCTATCTATCCTATCATATGTAATTAACTATCTGTCTGTCTAATTTTTCTATCTTGTTAATCTATCACTTATCTAGGCATCTATGTATCTATCTTTATCTGTCTATCCACCTGCTTACCTGCTGTCTGTCTAATCTATCCATCCTATCATATCTAATTATCACTTATCTATCTACCGACTTACCTATCATCTAGTTACCAAATCTATCATCTATCTAATGTATCTATCAATCATAACCAGTTATCTATCATCTATCATCTATCATCTGTATGTATCTGTCTATTCACCTACTATTATCTATTTAATCTATTCTATCTAGTTATCTATCTATCTATCCACCTACTTATCTAATTTTTCTATCTTGCAACTCTATCACCTATCTAGGTATCTATGTATCTATCTGTGTATCTGTATATCTATCTATCTATCTAGCTAGCTTTATCTAGCTACCTAGTTACCTATCATCTATCTATCTAATCTATCATCTATCTAATGTATCTATCAATCATATCTAATTATCTGTCTATCTAATCATCTATCTTATCTATTATATCTAGTTATCTATCATCTAGCTAGCTAGCTAATCTATCTGTATCTATCTACCTACTTACCTATCGTCTATTTATCTATCTAATCTATCATATCTAGTTATCTATCTACTTACTTATCTAACCTGTTGTATCTAGTTATCTATCTACCTACTTACCTATCATCTGTCTATCTATCTAATCTGTCCATCGTATCTAGCTACTTATCTACCTATCATCTATGTATCTATCTAATCTATCATATCTAGTTATCTATTTATCTGCCTACTTGCCTATTATCTATCACATCTAATTATCTATCTATCCCCCTCCCTGAAATAAGGTTCTTTCTGAGCTGATCATCAGGGAGCAGCAAAAGGAGTGGGGAGTTTGAAACAAGACATATTTGAGTTCTAGTACTGGGTCTCCTACCTCCTGACTTTGTAAATGTTCCCTTCCCTTTCTGGAATACGTTATTTTTTGGTTAAATATAAGGAGGGGGCAGAGAGCTAATAATATCTAACTTGAAGAGTTAGGTAATGATGAAAAATCCTGGCTTTAAAGCGCTCAGTCTAGAAACTGACTCATTGTGTCGGATAATGGGATTGTAGGTATAATGATGATTTTTTTTCACCCAATATTCCACCTACACCCATCTCTCTCTGTAATAGATTCTGTCAATGTTCCTCAACCCATGTTCCCCAGATCCCTTTCCCATTTTTATGCATTCTAGATCGTGGCTTCTTTCCCTTTCCAAAGTGAACATTTGTATCTCTTCTTTGGGGGACTGCCTGGGAGAACTCCAAATGCCTTGGAATTTACATGCCCGGGACAAACTGCCACTGACGGCTGTGGGGACCCCAGCTCCCTAGCCTCTGGTCTTCGACCTTCTCTGTCTCCACTGCTTTCTGCAGGATGGAGCCAAAGATACCATCTGAGGGACACAGATATCCCACACTTGTTTAATCTATTTTCCTCCCAGCCCTTCTTCCCCACTCCCTAAAATGTAATTTTCAAGCCAGGCGTGGTGGCTCACACCTGTAATCCCAGCACTTTGGGAGGTCGAGGCAGGCAGAGCACCTGAGGTCAGGAGTTCGAGACCAGCCTGACCAACATGGAGAAACCCCGTCTCTACTAAAAATAGAATATTAGCTGGGTGTGGTGGTGCATGCCTGTAATCCCAGCTATTTGGGAGGCTGAGGCAGGAGAATCTCTTGAACCTGGTAGGCGGAGGTTGCAGTGAGCCAAGATCACGCCATTGCACTCCAGCCTGGGCAACAAGAGCGAAACTCTGTCTCAAAACTAAATAAATAATAAATAAAATAAAACGTCACTTTCACACTAATGCTGTCTAAGAGCCTGCTTCTGGTGGAGCTGAATCAGAGAACCCCTCAAAAGCAACAATTTTTTTTTTTTTGAGACAGTCTCACTCTGTCTCCCAGGCTGGAGTGCAGTGGTACAATCTCGGCTTTGGAACCTCCCCCTCTGGGGTTCAAGCAATTCTCCTGCCTCAGCCTCCCAAGGAGCTGGGATTACAAGCACCCGCCACCTCACCCCGCTAATTTTTTATATTTCTAGTAGAGATGAGGTTTCACCATGTTGGTTAGGCTGGTCTCAAACTCCAGAGCTCAAGTGTTCTGCCCACTTTGGCCTCCCAAAGTGCTGGGATTACATAAGCCACCATGCCTGGCCATAAGCAACAATTCTATCAGTGCATCTCCAAGGACTTATGAAAACAGGGCAGGAACAGCTGCTCCTGGACTCTCAGTTTCCCCAGATGGAAGCAGAGAAACAGCAGCCTTGCCTTGTCCTTTCTGTTCTCCCCTTTTCCAGCCTACGGTATCTTTCACACAGCAATTCACTAGAAATGAGAAGTACATTATTGCAAAATTCTCATCTTCATATGACCCCATAATCAGCTGAACTGGGTTCACCCTGAGATGTCCACAGATCCTGGCCAAATGTTGCATCAGTATTTGCAAATTGCCAGAATAAATCATAACTTGCTACGCTACTAAAGTCAGCGTGAGCAACAAGATACAGCCTGACACGGGGCATAAATGGAGGCACAGGCACCAGAAAGAAAGTCAAGTCTTGTGTGATAAAATTCATCTTCATTCTCTACATTGCGATTGAACATAGAGTCGTTTTCTAGTGTGTTTTAGGCATATAAATACAGGCTGGGGACATCATACCTGTGCTTACAGATATTTTACTTTTATTTTATTTATTTACTGAAACAGGGTCTCGCTCTGTCACCCAGGCTGGAGTGCTGTGGCGCAATCACAGTTCACTGAAGCCTCAACCTCCTGGGCGCAAACGATCTTTCTGCCTGAGCCTCCCAAGTAGCTGGGACTACAGGTGCACACCACCACGCCTGGCTAATTTTTGTATTTTTTGTAGAGATGGGATCTTACCAAGTTGTCCAGGCTGGTCTTGAACCCCTGGGCTCAAGTGATCCTCCTGCCTCATCTTCCCAAAGTCCTGGTATTACAGACGTGAGCCACTGCGCCCGGCAAAGATATTTTATTCTGTTTAGAATTGTGATGATACAAATTTGAACTCAAAAAGTACATTTTAAGAAATTATATAATACCCACTGGGATGGCTATAATTTAAAAAAAGAAAAGTAAGTGTTGACAAGGATGTGGAGATATTGGAACCCACATATATTACTGGAAGGAATATAACATGATACAGCCACAATGGAAAATGATTTGGCAGTTCCTCAAAAAGTTGAACATAATAGTCACCATATGTCCTAGCAAATCCACTTCTAGGTACATACTCAAGATAATTTACAGCGCGGAGACAAACAGATACTCCTACCACAGTGTTCCAGCACCATTACTCGCTTTAGCCAAGAGGTGCAGACAACACAAATGTCCATCAAAAGAAGAACGGGGCCAGGCACAGTAGCTCAAGTCTGTAATCCCAGCACTTTGGGAAGCTGAGGCGTGTGGATCACCTGAGGTCAGGAGTTCGAGACCAGCCTAGCCAACATGGTGAAACCCCCTCTCTACTAAAAATACACAAATTAGCTAGGCATGGTGACGGGCGCCTGTAGGTCCAGCTACTCAGGAGGTTAAGGCAAAAGAATCACTTAAACCTGGGAGGCGGAGGTTGCAGTGAGCTGAGATTGTGCCACTGCACTCCAGCCTGGGCGACAGAGCAAGACTCCGTCTCAAAAAAACAAAAACAAAAACAAAAAAAAGAATGGATAAGCAAAATGTGGTCTATCCATACAATACGATGCTTTTCACCATGACAAGAAATGAAACATTGATGCATGCTACAGTACAGACAAACTTTGAAAACATTATGCTAAAGAGAAAGGAGCTAGTCACAAAGGATCACATAGTGTATGAATCCACTTACACAAAATGTCCAGAATAGACAAAATCATAGACACAGAGAAGCATATGAATGGTTGGAAGGGCCTGGTGGGAAAGTGGGAAATGAGGAGTGACTGCTTAATGGGTACAAGATTTTCTTTTAGGGTGATGAGAATGTTCTGGAATTATGTAGTGGTGATGGTTATACTACCTCATGAAGATACAAAATGCCAGTGAATTGGACACTTTACAAGGGTGAATTTTTGGACTGTGAATTATATATCAATAAAAAAAGAAAGAAAATAAATGATACAAGAGCTCAAAATAGAAAAGCTTCTCTTCCTCCTCCCCCTCACACCTCACTAGATCTCCCACCTCGTTTCTGATACTTCTGTGTTCCTCTCTCCCATTAGATTTCATATCTTTCTCAGAAAACGTTCCTGACGTGAATTGTGTTCGTAGTGCTAGGGTAGCAGACATTTCCCAAGCCTACTATCATGGAATAAAAACGTTTCAAATAGTTATCTTGCAAGAACACTTTGGAGGATACCTTTTTGAAAACCGATTATACCAGCACAGACTGCTAGCAACAACCTTCAGCAACTTTGGCTCTTTGGAGTAGGTTGCAGGAAGATTATGACTTGCTGAAAGGAAGGATGATTAAGCATCTAGATGCCAATTTATATTCTGCATTTGGCCCTTAAAGTCTGGATGAGTTCCTGTTTCAGCCGAATGCTGCCAAAAGCTCTAACTTTTTAATTTTTTTTTTTTTTTTTTTTTTTTGGAGACAGAGTCTCACTCTGTTGCCCAGGCTGGAGGGCAGTGGTGTAATCTCGGCTCACTGCAACCTCTGCCTCCCAGGTTCAAGCAATTCTCCTGCCTCAGTCACTTGAGTAGCTGGGAATACAGGCGCCCACCACAATGCCCAGCAAATTTTTGTATTTTTAGTAGAGACAGGGTTTCACCATGTTGCCCAGGCTGGTTTCGAACTCCTGACCTCAGGTGATCCGCCCACCTCGGCCTCCCAAAGTGCTGGGATTACAGATGTGAGCCACCTCGCCTGGCCCAAAAGCTCTAATTTTTATGAGAAACTCTGAGGACAGAATCTTAGTCAATTGTTAATGAATAAGCAACATTAGAAAAAAAATTCAATATTCACCTATTTTTGAGAATTTTAGAGTTATAACAAACTCTTGATTATATATATTCCTGAAGTACCTACTCTGCGTAGGTCCTGGTCCTACTCCCCAAATGGGTCACTGAAAAATTCACCCCCATTATTCCCCAAATCCCACCCTAGTTTTTCATCATGTCATATGGCAAACAACGCACTCTGTGCTGTTTTACACACCAGCTTCTTCAGAACCCGGAAGCACTTTAGAGGTTATCTCCCCTCATCCTCCACCCCCCAAAACACAGCAGTTTCCCCAATAACATTGAGAAAATGGGCTTTAAAGTTCTTCTAGGCCGGGTGCGGTGGCTCATGCCTGTAATCCCAACACTTTGAGAGGCCGAGGCGGGGGAATTGCTTGAGGTCAGGAGTTTGATACCAGCCTGGCCAACATGGTGAAACCCCATCTCTACTAAAAACAAAAAACAAAAAACAAAACTGAGCTGGATATGGTGGTGGGTGCCTGTAATCCCAGCTATTCGGGAGGCCGAGGCAGGAGAATTGCTTGAACCCAGAACCCAGGAAGTGGAGGTTGCAGTGAGCTGAGATTGTGCCACTTCACGCCACCCTGGGGGACAGAACAAGACTCTTTCTCAAAAAAATAAATAGGCCGTGTGCGGTGGCTCACGCCTGTAATCCCAGCACTTTGGGAGGCTGAGGCGGGCAGATCACAAGGTCAGGAGTTCGAGACCAGCCTGGCCAACATGGTGAAACCCCGTCTCTACTAAAAATACAAAAATTAGCTGGGTGTGGTGGTGCGTGCCTGTAGTCCCAGCTATTCGGGAGGCTGAGGCAGGAAAATTGCTTGAATCCGGGAGGCGAAGGTTGCAGTGAGCTGAGATTGCGCCACTGTACTCCAGCCTTGGTGACAAAGCGAGACTCTATCTCAAAAAACAAACAAACAAACAAACAAACAAATAAATAAAGTTCTCCTTGTGCACTTTAAGCAAAGGTGATCATGAAGCAGATCTCATTGGGAAAAACATCTCCTTTCTAATTATCTTACCTGTTTTCATTGAGGGAGCTTCAAGTTCATCGTGTTTATCTAGAAAATAGGAGGGAAGAAAAGGAATTACACTAATCATACAGGAACCTTGGGGACAGGAGTCCTCACGTCCTACTTATAGACATCCTGTTCTTCTTTGGGAAGCAGAAAAGAGAATGGCTTCTCCATTCCCTAGATGCTCCCTGGGTCCTCAGAGCATGGACAGAGCCTCAGATTACTCTTCTTAATAGTCCTGGAGTTTGATAGTATTTTTAATAACAAAAATATTTATGAATGACCCTGCTAACGCCCCCTCCAGTTTGATTCCTTGCCAGTCTTCTCTATCTTGACAAAGAACACCATTCACCCAAATTCTTTCTTTCTTTTATTTTTTTTGAGTCTTGCACTGTTACCCAAGCTGGAGTGCAGTGGCATGATCTCAGCTCACTGCAACCTCCGCCTCCCGGGTTCAAGAGATTCTCCTGCCTCAGCCTTCCAAGTAGCTGGGACTACAGGCGCCCGCCACCACACCCTGCTAATTTTTGTATTTTTAGTAGAGACAGGGTTTCACCATGTTGGCCAGGCTGGTCTCAAACTCCTGGCCTCAAGTGATCAACCTGCCTTGGCCACTCAGAATACTGGGATTCCAGGCATGAGCCACTGCACCTGGCCTATATTTCTATCTCCACAGTGGCACCATTTAGTCTAAGTTAAAATATCACCTACTTGGCCGGGCGCAGTGGCTCACGCCTGTAATCCCAGCACTTTGGGAGGCCGAGGCGGGCAGATCACAAGGTCAGGAGATCGAGACCATCCTGGCTAACATGGTGAAACCCCGTCTCTACTAAAAATACAAAAAGTTAGCCGAGCGTGGTGGCGGGCCCCTGTAGTCCCAGCTACTCGGGAGGCTGAGGCAGGAGAATGGCGTGAACCCGGGAGGCGGAGCTTGCAGTGAGCCGAGATCGCGCCACTGCACTCCAGCCTGAGGGACAGAGCCAGACTCCGTCTCAAAAAAAAAATAAAAATAAAAATAAAAATGAAATGAAATATCACCTACTCACCAGTCCCTGGCAACCACCAGTTGCTTCTGTGAGTTTGGCTTTTTTAGACTACACATATGAGTGAGATCCTGCAGAATTTGTCTTTCTGAGTCTGGCTTATTTTGTTTAGCATGATATATGCGGAGATGTTGATGAAAGGGTATAAGTTTCCAGTTCTAAGATGAAGAAGTTCAGGTGCTCAGCATGGTGGCAATGGATGTGCTAATTAATTTGACTGTGATAATCATTACACAATGTACAGGTGGATCAAATCATCAGATTGTATACCTTGAATATATACAATCTTCATTTGTCAATTTGATATTTTTAAATTTAAAAAGTCGTATTGCCTGAAACGCACCAACTCTTACTACATCTAGTCCCTTATTTTCCAAAAGCAGCCAGAGGCCGGGCATGATGGCCTGTGCCTGTAATCTCAGATGCTTGGGAGGCTGAGGTGGGAGGATTACCTGGGCCTGGGAGGTCAAGGCTGCAGTGAGCTGTGATTGCACCACTGCACTCCAGCCTGGGCAACCGAGTGGGACCCTGTCTCAAAAAAAAAAAAAAAAAAAAAAGCAGCCAGTGACCCTTCCAGCATATAAATAAAATCATGCCATCCTCCAGCTCAACTTCATCAGTGGGTTCCTGTTCTTTCAAAGCAGACTCTAGGACCAGTTCAAACACCCACAAGATCCTAGATGCTCTAGGCCCTGCCTTATGTCCTCCTTTCTGTGTCTCAATCATTCCAGGAACACTCACACTTCTGAGACTTTGCTTTTGCTGCTCTCTCTCCCTGGAGGGCTGTTCTCCAGATATCGGTGTGGTTGGGTCATTCTCATCCTTCATGCTTGTGGCAGATAGACCCTAAGGGGGCACTCAGGAGACTCAGGAGCCCTGCTTCCTGGTGTTCATGCCTTTGTCTAATCCCCTCACCTTGAGTGTGGAGATCTGTGACTTTCTTCTCACCAATAGCTATGGCAAAGGTGATGGGATGTTATGCTCTTGATTATGTTACATTACATAAAACTCTGTTTGCTAGGGCATTTGCTCTCTCTTTCTTCTCTCTCTCTCAATCTCTCTTCTTGCAAGTGCTGCAGAATCATTCTAGCATGAATCCTACAGCTATAAAGAACCAGATATTGCTATCAACCACAGGAGTGGAGAAATGGACCCTTCCCCAGTCAAGCCTCCAGATGAGCCAGATGAGAACACAGCCCTTGTTGACACCTTGATTGCATCCTTATGAGACCCAAAGCAGAGGACTCAGCTAAGCTGTGCCTGGACTCCTGACCCACATCAACTGTGAGATAATAAATAGGTGTTTCAGGCTGCTAAATTAGTGGTAATTTGTTATGCAGCTGTAGATCACTAATACAATGCCTCTCACAGTTATTCTCCATCTATAATGTGTTTTTTAATTACTCTGATAGCTTGCTCTTATTTCTTTCTTTCTTCCAAAGAAGAATGTGAGCTCCTGTTGGCCAGAGACCTGGTCTGTCTCAGTTCCTACAATATGCTCAGGATCTACCAAAGTATCTGAATTTGTAGGGTGAATGGGCAGCTATTTTTGTGCCAGGTATTTTGCATTAATTTTTTTTTGTAATGGAAGCATTTATATGCCCATTTTGTAATAAGTAAAAAGTAGTATAATAAAAAAGTAAAAAGTAGTATAATAAAGTGATTTGCAAAGCAGCAAACAGATTGTATATGGAAGGCTGACCTGGAAAATCAACCACTGGAAATTGATACTATAGCCTGTCTTGTGATGTAATGGTACAGCTGCGATAGAGGTGAAGAAATCAGGAAACAGTAGATGATATGCCAGAGAACATAATTGGGAAATGGCAAATAATCGCGAGGCTTTTAGGGCTAAAGTGTGGGTGCAGAAATTCTTAAGACTACAAGAACGAGTTATGGGGAATACAATTTGAAATCAATATCAAAGTGATGAGCACCTTGTTGGAGTATCATTGATCAAGAGCCTCAGAAAGAGGGTAAATCAGAGGTGAAACATTAAGTATTCAGTTACTCATCATGCCCCAAGCCCAGGCTAAGTCATTGGTGTGGACCCACGGCTACTTCTACACTACACTGATGACTGTAAAGTCTCTCCAGGGATTTCCCATGATATGGCAGGACTGACCTACTGGAAGCAACTGTGGTCAGTTGAGAGGTATTGTTTAGTGACTAATAAATGAATGGATGAATGGATGGATGGATGGATGGATGGATGGATAGATGGATAGGTGGGTGGGGGTGAGTGAATGGGTGAAAGGGTGGATGAGTGGATGAATGGGTGGAAGGATGGACAAATGAGTGGCTGGGTAAATAGATGGGTAGGTAGGTAGATAGATGGATGAAGGGGTGGGTGGACAGATGAATGGAAGGGTTGGTGGTTGGATGGATTAATGGATAGATGAATGGATGGATGGATGGATGGATGGATGGATGGATGAGTTGATGGATAGATGGATAAGTGAGTGGATGGATGGGTGAATGAGTGGGTAGGAGGGTGGATGGGTTGGTAGGTGGGTAGATGGGTGGGTGGGTTGATAGATGGGTGGGTAGATTGATAGATGGATGGGTGAGTAGATAAATGGGTAGATGAAAGTGATGCAAAATTATTCTTTATCCCTCTTCCTTGGGATCTCAAGTCATGTATGTTACAATCCTCCCACGTGCATCTTCTCACTGTGGTCCTCATCATTTTTTTTTCAGTTACCTGCACCGTGCCTCCCATACTTTTCCACACAATGGGATCTCTTAGCCCCACAATCCATTATTTGCCATTCCTACATCCCTCATAGAGCACTGGACACTCTTTCTGGCTTTCCTTCTCTGGCATAATGAAATATAAATTTTCATTTATGTCTGAATAGCAACTGTGAAGCTCATTGTTTTTGTGACACCGGGGAGGTCACCTAATCTCTATGAGCAAAAAGAAGTTAGTAACACAACCACCCTCATAGGAAGTGAAGACTGAATGAGTTAGTGGAGGCAAGTTACCTGTCGTGGAGACAGGAACATAGAAAATGCTGGATACATGTCAAATGCCAGTGTTATCACTCTATCCTCACCTGTCACCCAGATCTCCAGCTTGTTGCTGGGGAAGGAGGCCAAGTGTGATGAGTTGCTCAGGTAATACACACAGCTGTAGTTTCCACTGTCATTACTTGTCACGTTCCAGAGCATGAAATCAGTCTGGTTTTTTCTTACTTGCCTGACTTGTAATGGTTCTGGGATCCCCATTTTCAACAGAGCAATTACAATACATTCGGTTCCATTGTATGGAGTGAGACATCGAAGTGTCCTGAGACCTGGAGTCATCCCAGGGTCTACATTGACTGAGAGCAAAGGTTCTGGGAGTGATCCTGAAGAGGACAAGGCAATGGAGGTAAAGAGAAGGGCCAGGGCTTTTCCATTTTCTACTGCACTTGGGGACTATCTCATCCATCTCTCCGTATTAACCATGTCTTTCATCTTCTGCATTTGATGCTTTAACATCTTGGGGCCTTGCTGCCCTTGGTGGGACCTCCCCTCGCAGGGTTAGTTAATTTCTAGAGCCAGTAAACAACTTGTCCTCAAGGATGTCCCTCAAATGCAAGCCAATAGATCCAGAGCCCATACTCTCAACCACCTTAATTATGGGGCTCTCACACTCAAGGTCAATGTTGTCCTCTCCTAATCACCCCAGGTCCAAGAACTAGACAACCAGGGACAGCCTCTACACCCCAAAGCCAATTCTTTTTTTGTTTTTCTTTTCTTTCTTTCTTTTCTTTTCTTTTCTTTTTTTTTTTTTTTTTTTTTTTTTGAGACAGGTTCTCATTCTATCACCCAGGCTTGAGTGCAGTGGCACGATCTTGGCTCACCGCAGCCTCTGCCTCTGGGGTTCAAGCAATTCTCGTGCCTCAGCCTCCCGAGTAGCTGAAAGCACAGGTGCACACCACCACACCCAGGTAATTATTGTATTTTTGTAGAGATGGAGTTTCGCCATGTTACCCAGGCTGATGTCAAACTCCTGACCTCAGGTGATCCACCCTCCTAGGCCTCCCAAAGTGCTAGGATTACAGGCATGAACCACCACACCTGGCCAACTCTAATCTTGTTCTCCCCACAAAATACAATCAAAGCTCTGGTCCACAGTTCTTCCTCCTCCCTCTGCCCCTCATTGACCCTGGTGCTTCCCCACATACTCCCCCCAGTATAGCCTTCCTCCTCCTCTTGGGAACTGTAACAGACCATCTTTTCCATGGCAATCATCACTTGGTCTGTCAGTCTTACCATACCCCAATTTTCTATTAACTGACCATATTCTACACCACCCTCCCACATCCACATCATTGGGACCCTCTCAGAATCTCTGATGAGAATCTTGCTCC
The DNA here is from genome assembly GCF_000001405.40 of Homo sapiens. Classification (NCBI taxonomy): domain Eukaryota; kingdom Metazoa; phylum Chordata; class Mammalia; order Primates; family Hominidae; genus Homo; species Homo sapiens. Next base: position 31,175 of record NW_003571061.2, read on the forward strand.
ACATTCGGTTCCCATTTCCACATTGAAGGTGTTGCATCTATCCTTCTTCTTCTTTTTTTTTTTTAGACGGAGTCTTGCTCTTTCATCCAGGCTGCAGTGCAGTGGCACAATCTCAGCTCATTACAACCTCTGCCTTCTGGGCTCAAGAGATTCTCTTCCTGCCTCAGCCTCCCTAGTAGCTGGGATTACAGGCGCCTGCCACCACGCCCAGCTAATTTTTGTATTTTAAGTAGAGGTGAGGTTTCACCATGTTGGCCAGGCTGGTCTCGAACTCCCGACCTCAAGTGATCTGCCCACCTCTGCCTCCCAAAGTGCTGGGATTACAGGCATGAGCCACCGCGCCGTGCCTGGCCTGCATCTATCTTTTTGTCTCCTAGATTCCTTCTTCCCCAGCCATGTCCCACGACAGGAAAAGAAATACGTGCATCAGGCAGGCTTTGGTGACTCACGCCTGTAATCCCAGCACTTTGGGAGGCCAAGGCAGGAGGATCACCTGAGCTCAGGAGTTCAAGACCAGCCTGGGCAACATAGATCCTGTCTCAACAAGTAATTTAAAAATTAGCCAGGCATGGTGGTGCTTGCCTGTACTCCCAGCTACTTGGGAGGCTGATGTGGGAAAATCGCTTGAGCCTGGGAGGTCGAGGCTGCAGTGAATTGTGTTCATGCCACTGCACTCCTGCCTGGGTGACAGAGCGAGATTCTGTCAAAAAAAAAAAAAGCAGCCGAGCGCAGTGGCTCACTCCTGTAATCTCAGCACTTTGGGAGGCTGAGGTGGGCAGATCACTTGAGGTCAGCAGTTCGAGATCAGCCTGGCCAACATGGTAAAACCCTGTCTCTACTAAAATACAAAAATTAGCCAGGTGTGGTGGCGCACCCCTGTAGTTCCAGCTACTCGGGAGGCTGAGGCAGGTGAATTGCATGAACCCAGGAGGCGGGGGTTGCAGTGAGCTGAGATCATGCCACTGTACTCCAGCCTGGGCAACAGAGCAAGACTCCCTCTCAAAAAAAAAAAAAAGGCTGGGTGTGGAGGTTCACGTTTATAATCCCAGCCCTTTGGGAGGCCGAGGCAGATGGATCACTTGAGGTCAGGAGTTTGAGATCAACCTCACCAATATGGTACAACCTCATCTTTATTAAAAATACAAAAATTAGGCCGGGCGCGGTGGCTCATGCCTGTAATCCCAGCACTTTGGGAGGCGGAGGCAGGTGGATCACAAGGTCAGGAGATGGAGACCATCCTGGCTAACATGGCGAAACCCCATCTCTACTAAAAACACAAACAATTAGCTGGGCGTGGTGGCGGGCGCCTGTAGTCCCAGCTACTCGGGAGGCTGAGGAGGGAGAATTGCTTGAACCCAGGAGGCAGAAGTTGCAGTGAGCCGAGATCGTGCCACTGCACTCCAGCCTGGGAGACACAGCAAGACTCTGTCTTAAAAAAAAAAAAGCAAAGCCAAACCAAAGAAATGTGTGCATCAAAGAGTACATCTGCCCTTCTCACCTGTGACCACCAGCTGCAAGTGTTCACTGCTTTCTGACCACTCATGGGAGGCTGTTGTCTTGTAGGCACAAAAGTACCTCCCAGCATCCTTAGGCTTCAGGTCCGTGAAGGGGAATTCAGCTTCGTTTTCTGCCGAGCTCTGTTCCTGCTTGTACCCAGAGTCGTTCACCTTGCGCAGCACAAATGTCACATTCTGGGAATGAGCCTGACACTTCAGGGTCACATTGCTCTCGGCTTCAACCACCGAGCTGGGCCAGGCGTGGAGGGAGGGCTTGGGCGGTTTCTCTGGAAACAATTCAGAGTTAATTTGAGTCTAGAATTCAGACGATTAAAGGAAAAGGTCATGAAGCGTGGGATGCAGGAATAAAAGTTTAAGTAGGAGAAAACTCACCATTCTTTTTCTCATCTTCGTAGCCCAGACACAGCCCTGGAAGAGAAATCTCAATGAGAGAAAAATTATGTGCTTGTCCTTGAGTACAAATCCAGCAGAGAACGTATGACTAGCTCTTTATAGGTCTGAGATATATATATATATATAATGTATATATGTATTATATATAATAAATGTATTAAGTATATGTACACATATTACATATAATACATATATAAATATAATATATATATTAAATATATGTATTACATATATGTATATATTTTTGGCAGATATCTCCCCAGACTTACCTCTTACTTTTGTTCCATTGTTTGTCATTCAGAAGCTACGTGTATGGAGAAAATTCCAGCAACTTCTTCTTTCTTTTTTTTTTTTTTTTTTTGAAATGTAGTCTTGCTCTGTTGCACAGGCTGGAGTGCAATGACATGATCTCAGTTCACTGCAACCTCCGCCTCCCAGGTTCAAGCAATTTTCCTGCCTCAGCCTCCCGAGTAGCTGGGACTACAGGCACCCGCCACCACACCTGGCTAATTTTTGCATTTTTAGTAGAGACAGGGTCTCACCATGTTGGCCAGGCTGGTCTTGAACTCCTGACCTCAGGTGATCCACACGCCTCGGCCTCCCAAAGTGCTGGGATTACAGGCGTGAGCCACTGCCCCCGGCCCAGCAACCTTTTCTGATGTATTGAATTGCTTTCATGAGTAATCCTTTCACCATCTAGAAATTGTTCAACATTCACCTATGCTTTTTTCTGGTATTTTCTGTGATTGCAGTGTTTTGTTTTGTTTTGAGACAGAGTCTCGCTGTGTCACCCAGGCTGGAGTGCAGTGGTGCAGTCTCAGCTCACTGCAACCTCCTCCACCCCCTGGGTTCAAGTGATACTCGTACCTCAGGCTCCAGAGTAGCTGGGACTACAGGTGTGTGCCATCGTGCCCAGCTAATTTTTGTTGTTGTTGTTGTAGAGATGGGGTTTCACCATGTTGCCCAGGCTGGTCTCAAACTCCTGAGCTCAAGTGATCCACCCGCCTCAGCCTCCCAAAGCGCTGGGATTACAGGCATGAGCCACCGTGCCCGGCCTGATTGCAGTTTTACCCTTGCCACTTAAATAATGCAAAGGTTATTTTATCGTGGAGTGAGAGTGGTGGGTTTTTTTTTTTTTTTTATTTTTCGAGATGGAGTCTCGCTCTGTCACCCAGGCTGGAGTGCAGTGGCGCGATCTCGGCTCACCGCAAGCTCTGCCTCCCGGGTTCACGCCATTCTCCTGCCTCGGCCTCCCGAGTAGCTGGGACTACAGGCACCCGCCACCAAGCCCAGCTAATTAATTTTTTTGTATTTTTAGTAGAGACGGGGTTTCACTGTGTTAGCCAGGATGGTCTTGATCTCCTGACCTCGTGATCCACCCGCCTCGGACTCCCAAAGTGCTGGGATTACAGGCATCAGCCACCGCGCCCGGCCGAGAGGAGGGTTTTCTTGCTCAATTCCAATAGAGAGAATCTGCTCCCCCTTCCCCGTGTCTTCTGGTCCCAAATACTCTCCTCACTTTAGCTTTGGTTTCCACTTACATTATCCCCTCCCTCTTCTGTGTTCTGTTCTCTACATTCCCCGCTGGGAAGGTAGCGTCTTAAACTTGGGTGGAAAATGGGATGTCAGTCATGGGGCTTGTTTCAGGGTGAAGTTACGTAGAATTTAGGTAGAAATTCTCTAGAGCCACGACAGTGTCTCAGGACATTGGTTCCTTGTTGACACAGGTGCCGATACAGAACGTGACCCCCCACCAAGCTTCACCACAGAGGAATGAGGTGGAGGCCTCACGATGGACCGAAGCTGCGTTGGCAGCGAGATTAGCTGGGATTGGCAGGTAGGAAACAGCCTCTGGGTGGGCAGGGCATCCCAGGACTCAGGCTCTGTTTTGAGACCCTCCCCAAATCCCGCTTTTAGATTCATGTCATCTCATCTCTGCTATCCACCCATCGTCTGTTCAAACAGTGATTCCTATATTCTTTTTTCTTTTTGAGACAGGGTCTCACTCTGTGGCCCAGGCTGGAGTGCCAGGGTGCAGTCACAGCTCACTGCAGCCTCAACCTCCTGGGCTCAAGTGATCCATCCATCTCAGCCTCCCAAATAACTGGGACTACAGGCATGCACCACCACGCTGGCTGATTTTAAAATTTTTTTGTAGAGATGAGGACTCACGATGTTGCCCAGGCTGGTCTCGAACACCTGAGTTCAAGTGATTCTCCCACCTTGGCCTCCCAACATGCTGGGATTACAGGTGTGAGCTACCTGCACCCAGCCCAATTCCCATATTCTTTTTCTTTTCTTTTTTTTTTTTTTTTTTTGACATGGAGTCTCCCTCTGTCACCCAGGCTGGAGGGCAGCGGTGCTATCTTAGCTCACTGCAACCTCTGCCTCCCAGGTTCAAGCGATTTTCCTGCCTCAGCCTCCCGAGTAGCTGGGATTACAGGTCCTTGCCACCATGCCCAGCTAATTTTTGTATTTTTAGTAGAGACGGGGTTTCACCATGTTGGCCAGTCTGGTCTCAAACTCCTGACCTCAAGAGATCTGCCCGCCTGGGCCTCCCAAAGTCCTGAGATTACAGGCGTGAGCCACCACACCTGGCTGATTTGTGTTTCTTGAAAAGAGAAGTTCAAGTTGTAACTCCCAGGACCTGCGAATGTGACCTTATTTGAAAATAGCATTGTCTGATCTTTGCAGATGTAATTAATTAAACTAAGATGAGGTCATACTAGAGTAGGCTGGGTATCTAATCCAATATAACTTACAAGAAGAGAAAAAGAGAGACAGAGACACACAGAAGGAAGACGGCCATGCGAAGACAGAGGCAGAGAGGCCAGGCTGCAATCATAGTGCTTTGGGATGCCAAGATAGGAGAATTGCTTGAGCCCAGGAGTTGGAGACTAGCCTGGGCAATATAGCAAGATCCCATCTCTAAAACAGAAATTATTTTAATTAGTCCAACATGGTGGTGTGCACCTGTAGTCCTAGCTGCTCAGAAGGCTGCGGGGAGGACTGCTTGAGCTCAGGAGGTTGAGGCTGCAGTGAGCTATGGTGGTACCACTGCACTCCGGCCTGGGCAACTGAGTGAGACCCTGTCTAAAGAAAAGAAAAAAAAAAACAGAGCCAACGATTGGAGTGATGCATCTACAAGTTAAAGAATGCCGGGAGCGCTGGCTCACGCCTGTAATCTCAACAGTTTGGGAGGCTGAGGCGGGCAGATCACCTGAGGTCAGGAGTTCGAGGCCAGCCTGGCCAACGTGGTGAAACCCTGTCTCTACTAAAAATACAAAAATTAGCCAGGCATGGTGGTCCATGCTTGTAATCCCAGCTACTTGGGAGGCTAAGGCAGGAGAATTGATTGAACCCAGGAGGTGGAGGTTGCAGTGAGAAAGATCATGCCACTGCACTCTAGCCTGGGTGACAGAGCAAGACTCCGCCTCAAGAAAAAAAAAAAATGCCAAGAATTGTCAGCCATCACTAGAAGAGGGGCATAAAACAGACGCTCCTTCATAGTTCTCAGAAGGAATCAACATTGCAAACACCTTGGTTTCAGACTTCTCATCTCCCCAACTTAAAGCAATTCTAATTCCTTTAAGCCACCAGGCTTGTAGTACTTTGGTATGGCAGCCATTGGGGGATGAGGTCAGTCTCCTGGTTGCCCAGCTTACTGTGCTCAGCAGCTGGAGGCTTGGGTATGAACCCGATAGTCATCTCTAAGGCACAAATAGCCGGGTGCAGTGGCTCACACCTGTAATCCCAGCACTTTAGGAGGTTGAAGTGGGTAGATCACCTGAGTTCAGGAGTTTGAGACCAGCCTGGCCAACATGGTGAAACCCCATCTCTACTAAAAACACAAAAAATTAGCCAGGCGTGGTGGCGTGTGCCTATAATCCCAGCTTCTCGGGAGGCGGAGGCAGGAGAATCGCTTGAACCCAGGAGGTGGAGGTTGCAGTGAGCTGAGATCACACCACTGCACTCCAGCCTGGGAGACAAAGCAAGACTCTGTCAAAAAAAAAAAAAAATGCTCATCTAAGGTGCAAATGTGTGTAGGAGACGAGCATTACCCCACAAGGAAGGGCTGCACCCAGAAAAGGAGGAAGGAACTGAAGCAGACGAAGCACGTCGATGTCCACCGCACCCCCCGTGCACCAGGGAGGAACTGGGGCCTTAGGGAGGTGGAGCTCTGCTGGGTCAAGCCTAGAGTTTCTATGTAGTAAAGCCGAGATTATAACCCAGGTCATCCGTTTCACAGTGTGAGCTCTGTCTGAATACATCAGGTTCAATTGGAGGATGGTTAAAATCAGCCTAAGAATCGAGCTGGTCAGAAAATTGTCTTCTTGGGGCCAGGTGTGGTGGCTCACGCCTGTAATCCCAGCACTTTGGGAGGCTGAGGCGGGCGGATCACCTGAGGTCAGGGGCTCGAGACCAGCCTGACCAACATGGTGAAACCCCGTCTCTACTTAAAATACAAAAGTCAGCCGGGTGTGGTGGCCTGCACCTGTAGTCCCACCTACTCGGGAGGCTGAGGCAGGAGAATCGCTTGAACCTGGGAGACGGAGGTTGCAGTGAGCCCAGATCACGCCATTGCACTCCAGCCTGGGCTACAGAGTGAGACTCTGTCTCATAAATAAATGCATACATACATAAATAAATAAATAAGAGAGAGAGAGAAGAAAATTGTCTTTTTGCCCACAGCCTTGCACCCTGTAGATCCCTAAGCCCAGCCCTCCTCTATTCCGACGGAGGATGATGGCAGTACTGCGGTATTTAGCGGCTGCAGACTCGGAGACCCCACAGCAGCTCTGCCTTTCCCAGCGGAGTCTGTCCCCGTGTCTCTGCAGCGCGGCCTCCTCCTCGCTTGCATGTGGGCGGCAGAACTCACAGAACCCACAGCCCAGACCCACCCACCGCAGGTGTGCAACACCTGGAAGTCATTACTTCCACACACCGCATTTCCACCTGGACTGCCACTCCCACATGAGTTTTTCTCACCAGCCCAAGCCCATTCGTCCCAGTCCTGGAGACTCACCGAGGCAAAGCAGGGAGAGGAATTCTGCGGTCATAGCGTCCCTTCTGCCAGAACCAAGGCCCCGCCTTGGGTTTTACCCTTCAAAGGCGGAGCGGGACTGGGCCGGCCGCAGCTCTCCGGCTGCCCGGTTCGTCCCCAGGATGTGCAGATAGAGGAGGTTTTGCTCTGACACTCTGGTTCTCTGCCCCACTCTTGCAGTTTCCTTCTCACAACCGACTCAGGAAACAAGAAGCCGTCGATGATAACTTCTTCCCCATGAATCCGGTGTGTGTGGCCCCACCCGCCCGAGCTCTGTCCTACCTTATCTGAAGTTCTGCCAAGAGTTTTCTGTAAATGTAATTTTTTATTTTAAAACACTAATACCGGCCGGACGCGGTGGCTCACGCCTGTAATCCCAGCACCTTGAGAGGCTGAGGCGGGCGGATCACCTGAGGTCGGGAGTTCAAGACCAGCCTGACCAAAATGGAGAAACCCCCGTCTCTACTAAAAATACAAAATTAGCCAGGCATGGTGGCGCATGCCTGTAATCCCAGCTACTCCGGAGGCTGAGACAGGAGAATGGCTTGAACCCAGGAGGCGGAGGTTGCTGTGAGCCAAGATTGTGCCACTGCACTCCAGCCTGGACAACAACGGTGAAACTGTCTCAAACAAGCAAACAAACAAACATTAATACCTATAGCTTTATAGCTTCCGTGTACCCACTAGCCAGCTCCCCACAATGTTAACCTTTTTTTGGGGGGCGGGGGGGACAGAGTCTTGCTCTGTCACCCAGGCTGGAGTGCAGTGGCGCGATCTCGGCTCACTGCAACCTCTGCCTCATGGGTTTAAGGATTCTCCTGCCTCAGACTCCCAAGTAGCTGGGATTACAAGCATGCACCACCACACCCAGCTAATTTTTTGTAGAGATGGGATTTCACCATGTGGGCCAGGCTGGTCTTGAACTCCTGGTCTCTAGTGACCCGCCCACCTCAGCCTCCCAAAGTGCTGGGATTACAGGCATAAGCCACTGTGCCCGGCCAATGGTAATCTCTTATAATTACAGTACTTTTTTTTTTTTTTTTTTTTTTTGAGACAGAATCTCTGTCAGCCAGGCTGGAGTGCAGTGGCACAATCTTGGCTCACTGCAACCTCTGCCTCCCGGGTTCAAGCGATTCTCCTGCCTCAGCCTCCCGAGTTGCCGGGATGACAGGTGTCCGCCACCACTCTTGGCTAATTTTTTTTGTTCTTTTTAGTAGAAACGAGGTTTTGCCATGTTGCCCAGGCTGGTCTCGAACTTCTGACCTCAGGCGATCCGCCTGCCTCGGCCTCCCAAACTGCTGGGATTACAGGCGTGAGCCACCACGCCCGGCGTATGGCACATTTTCAAAACCAGAGACTTTGCACTGGCATCACACGTTTAACCAGGTTCCAGAGGTCACTCAGATCTCACCAGTTTGTGCATAATTCGTTTCTCTTTTTCTCTTCCTCTTCCTTCTATTTCTATTTCCTTTTCTCCTTTTCCTTCTTTTCTCCTGCTCTTCCTCCTCTTCCACCTTCTTTTCCTCCTCCCTTTTCTTTGCCTATGGGTATAGTTCTGTAACATTTTATTGCCTGTATGTATGGCTTTATAGAACCACCGCCACAATCAAGACACAGAACTGTCCCACCACCACGTAGGAACTCCCTCATGCTGCCCCTTTATAATCGCTCTCCCACCCTAGCACCTGCTAATCTGTTCTACGTCTCTATCACTTTGTCACTTTGAGACTCTTGTATAAATGGAATCGTCCATCGCCTCACCTTCTGAGGGTGACCTTTTTCACTCAGCACAATGCCTGTGAGATTCATTCAAATGGTTGTGTGTTATGATGATGGATACATTAGCCGGGCGTGGTGGCACACGCCCATAGTCCCAGCTACTCAGGAGGCTGAGGCAGGAGAATCGCTTGAACCCGGGAGGCGGAGGTTGCAGTGAGCTGAGATCACGCCACTGCACTCCAGCCTGGGTCACAGAGCAAGACTCCATCAAAAAAAAAGAATTATCTAATGGATACAATGTGTGTCACTGGGTTAGTGGATACCTGAAAGCCCTAACTTCATCATTTTGGAATCTATCCATGCAATAAAGTTACACTTGTACCCCATAAACGTATACAAATAAAAAATAATCGTCTGGGCATGATGACTTACCGCTGTAATCCCAGCACTTTGGGAGGCTGAGGCGGGATTACAGGTGTGAGCCACCATGCCCGGCCTATACTTTCTATCTTAATAACTACAAAAATAATAACTTGCTGGATGGGTCCCTGTGCCCACCCCGTCCTGTCCTAAGTGAGGAGGATGGGAAGAAAGCCATCGTCCTGTCCTGGTGCGGCTCTCAAACAGCTGGAAATGCTGGCTGCACAGGAAACTCTAAGGATCGGCAGCTCTAGCGCATGCTACCCTTGGCAGCTGTGTGGTCTGTGGATAGAGAAGGACCAACCTGTGGTTAGTGGAGGAAGAGGAGGAATATTGCTTTGATAAGCACATCCTCAGAGTTATAACAGAGGAGACAATAGTTATAAAATAAGAATGATATTTACGAAAAATAATAAGACTATTAACAAGAAACAGCAACAAATCTTGAAAACAAAATGTAACAACAAAACATAAATGTTGACTTTTTTTTTTTTTTTTTTTTTGAGACGGAGTCTCGCTCTGTCGCCCAGGCTGCAGTGCAGTGGTGAGATCTCGGCTCACTGCAACCTCTGCCTCCCGGGTTCCAGCAATTCTCCTGCCTCAGCCTCCTGAGTAGCTGGGATTACAGGCATGCACCACCACGCCCAGCTAATTTTTGTATTTTTAGTAGAGATGGGGTTTCACCATATTGGCCAGGATGGTCTCGATCTCTTGACCTTGTGATCCGCCCACCTCGGCCTCCCAGAGTGCTGGGATTATAGGCATGAGCCACAGCACCTGGCAACTGTTGACATTTTACATCTGCACCAGTAAGACTGGCTACCAATTACAAGCAAATGGATGCCATGGATAGAATGGAATTCCTGCCAAACTGGGTAAAATGTTGGAAACATATAAAATAAAATGTAAAAGAAATGTATTATAAATACAGGCTGGGCGTGGTGGCTCATGCCTGTAATCCCAGCACTTTGGGAAGCCAAGGTGGGCAGATCACTTGAGGTCAGGAGTTCGAGACCAGCCTCGCCAACATGGTGAAACCCCGTCTCTACTAACACACAAAAATTAGCCAGGCATGGTGGTGGGCGCCTGTAATCCCAGCTACTTGAGAGGCTGAGGCAGGAGAGTCACTTGAACCTGAGAGGGAGGTTGCAGTGAGCTGAAATTACGCCACTGCACTCCAGCCTGGGTGACAGAGTGAGACTCCCTCTCCAAAAAAAAAGAAAGAAAGAATGTATTATAAATACATATGACCAAGCACAGTGGCTAACGCCTGTAGTCCTGGCACTTTGGGAGGCCAAGATGAGAGGATCACTTGAGTCCAAGAGTTCGAGACCAAGTTGGGCCATATGGTGGAACCCGGCTTCTACAAAAAATACAAAATTTAGTCCGGCATGATGGCACACACCTGTGGTCCCAGCTACTCAGAAGGCTGAGATGGGAGGATTACTTTAGCCTGGGAGGTCGAGGCTGCAGTGAGCCGTGATCTAGCCACTACACTCCAGCCTGGGCGACAGAGTGAGACCCTGTCTCAAAATAAATAAATATAATAAATAAATAAATATGTATATCCCAATATTGGACTAAATGCTGGTCCAGAAGCACAAAATAGAAAGAACGGAGAGGAAGTATTAATAAATATTACACAGGAAGCAATGTTTTTCCCTTCGTGTGGAGGAAGAGTTCCCCGCAGGTGAGAGTCACCTACTACTCAATCTGACTCTGAAGTTTTAAGTATTGATTCAAGTTATCAAAAATGTATTAAGGGCTGGGCACGGTGACTCAAGCCTGCAATCCCAGCACTTTGGGAGGCCGAGGTGGGCTGATCACTTGAGCTCAGGTGTTCAAGACCAGCCTGGCCAACATGGGTGAAACCCCATCTCTACTAAAAGTACAAAAATTAGCTGGGCATGGTGGCAGGCGCCTGTAATCCCAGCGACTTGGGAGGCTAAGGCAGGAGAATCGCTTAAACCCAGGAGGTGGAGGTTGCAGTGAGCCGAGATCTTGCCATTGCACTGCAGCCTGGGTGACAGAGCGAGACTCCGTCTCAAAGAAAAAAAAAAAAAGTATTACGTGGCTCATTGTGCCCAATTCTGTCCTCTGTCCCCAGTGAAAAGTACAGGAAGAAGAAAGCCACCATCCTGCCCTACAGCAGATCCCAACAGAGCTGAGAGTGCAGGTTCCACAGAAAGCGGTTAAGGCTCAGCTGGTCCAACCCATCATTCCCTGGGCAGCTGTGGGATCTATGGCTAGAGAAGAACAGAGCTGAGCTTAGAGGGGAAGGAAGAGGAGGAAGATTGTTTTCTCCCGGCATCCAAACACAGCTTTTCAACCAGGGGGAGCACCACCCTCACTTCCCATCGCCCCATCCAGGGATATTTGAAAGGTATGAGAGTAGTGGCTTTTTTGTTGTTGTTGTTTCACAATAATTAGGTCTCCAACAGGTGTTCAATGGGAAAGGAAGTATTAGCAATGTCGAGTTACGTGTTCCTATAATGGACAAGACAGTCTCACATGGTGAAGGACTATTGCACTTTAAACACCATTTGTGGCCATGCCCGGTGGTGCACACCTGTAATCCCAGCACTTTGGGAGGCTGAGGCAGGTGGATCACTTGAGGCCAGGAGTTCGAGACCAGCCTGACCAATGTGGCGAAACCCCGTCTCTCCTAAAAATACAAAAAAATTAGCCAGATGGTGGCAGGTGCCTGTAGTTGCAGCCACTTGGGAGGCTGAGGCAGGAGAATCACTTGAACCTGGCAGGCGGAGGTTGCAATGAGCCGAGATCGCACCACTGCACTCTGGCCTGGGCGACAAAGCGAGACTCTGTCTCAAAACAAACAAACAAACAAAAAAACAAAAAATACCATTTGTGCCCATGTGGAGAAACGTGTGAAGTCCCCATGGTAGAGTCTGATGTTTAAAGAACCCCATATGGATTGAATGCACAGCAGGGCGGCTACAGTTCACAAGGCTGCACTGGGTAATTACAATTTGCTAAGAAGGTGGATCTTAAACAGAAAGGTCCATAAGCTAGATTGAGATAACCATTGTCACAATGAGTGAAATTTCTTCCTCGGCACACAATTAATTACTTAGTTAGTAGGAAAGTTCCCAGAAGGTGGATCTTAAACAGAAAAGTCCATTAGCTACATTGTGATAATCATGTCACAATTAGTGAAATTTCTTCTTTGGTACACAATTAATTATTTAGTAGGGAGGTTCCCAGAAGGTGGATCTTAAACAGAAAGGTTCGTTAGCTACATTGTGATACTCATGTCACAATCAGTGAAATTTCTTCCTTGGTACACAATAAATTACTTAGTAGGAGGGTTCCCCACCCGTAGGCTTATGGGGGTATAATTGATAAATCAAAATGGAATATATCAAAACATCACGTTGTACACAAATATAACTCCATTTTTATTTGTCGATTAGATCTCAATAAATCTGGAGCAGAAGAGAATTCCATATCTCTACAGCAGCCCATGAAAGAGAGAGGGGATCCGTGTTTTAACTTGGATCTGTTACTGGAAAGGGGTCCCAGTCCAGACCCCAAGAGAGGGTTCTCGGATCTCACACAAGTAAGAACTCAGGGTGAGTACACAGAGTAAAGTGAAGGCAAGTTTATTAAGAAAGTCAAGGAATATGGCTGCTCCATAGGCAGAGCAGTCCAGAGGGCTGTCAGTCGGCTATTTTTGTGGTTATTTCTTGATCGTATGCTAAACAAGGGGTGGACTGTTCATGAGTTTTCCAGGAAAGGGGAGGGGATTTCCCTGGAACTGAGAGTCCCTCCCTCGTTTAGCTTCTGGAAGTTGCCATGGCATCTGTAAGCTGTCTTGGTGGCGGTGGGAGTGTCTTTTAGCATGCAAATGCATTATAATTAGCAAATAATGTGCAGTGAGGACGACCAGAAGTCACTTTTGTTGCCATCTTGGATTTGGCAGGTTTTGGCTGGCTTCTTTGTTGCATCTTTGTGTCTTTGGGTCTTTGTGACCTGTATGTTGTGACCTGTCTCATCCTGTGACTTAGAAAGCCTCAACCCCCTGGGAATGCAGTCCAGCAGGTTGCAGCCTCAGTTTACCCAGCCCCGGTTCAAGATGGAGTCACTCTGGTTTGAAGGCCTCTGATTCACCTGGAGACACATTCCGGCTGTACCAGGCCTCCACCAGGAAAGCTCCCATGATAACCACAATTACGGCAGCCAGACCCAGTCGTACGAAGTTACCCAGGGAGTAGTTGCTCGATGTGGTACCTGGGGGAACTGAAAGAGAGAAGGGGCTCAGCACTGACCCTCAGAGGGTATCCCTCCTTCTCAAATGGCCCCACCAAATCTGACTATCATCACCCACTTAATGTTTTCGGTTTTTTGGTTTTTTTTTTTGAGACGGAGTTTTACTCTTGTTGACCAGGCTGGAGTGCAGTGGTGTAATCTCAGCTCACCACAACCTCTGCCTCCCAGGTTCAAGCCTCCCTGCCTCAGCCTCCCAAGTAGCTGGGATTACAGGCATGTGCCACCATGCCCGGCTAATTTTATATTTTTAGTAGAGACGGGGTTTCGCCATGTTGGCCAGGCTGGTCTTGAACTCCCGACCTCAGGTGACCCGCCCACCTCAGCCTCCCAAAGTGCTGGGATTACAGGTGTGAGCCACCGCGCCCGGCCACCCACTTAATGTTTTCTAGCCAGTAGTCCACTGTACTTTAAAGTTTTAATTGAACTTTTTTTTTTTCTTGAGATCAAGTTTTGCTCTTGTTGCCCAGACTGGAGTGTAATGGCACAATCTCAGCTCACTACAACCTCTGCCTCCCGGGTTCAAGTGATTCTCCTGTCTCAGCCTCCCAAGCAGCTGAGATTATGAGCATGTGCCACCACACCCGGCTAATTTTGTATTTTTAGTAGAGACGGGGTTTCTCCATGTTGGTCAGGCTGGTCTCGAACTCCTGACCTCAGGTGATCCACCCGCCTTGGCCTCCCAAAGTGTTGGGATTATAGGCATAAACCACCATGCCTGGCCATAATTGAGCTCTTTAAAGTTTTAATCCCTGAAAACAAAAGATGGAATCTTTGTTGTTGTTTTTGAGACGACGTCTCACTCTGTTGCTCAGGCTGGAGTGCAGCGACGCAGTCTCGGTTCACTGCAACCTCCACCTCCTGGGTTCAAGCGATTCTCCTGCCTCAGCCTCCCGAATAGCTAGGATTACAGGCACCTACCACCACACCCGGCTAATTTTTGTATTTTTAATAGAGATGGGTTTTCGCCATGTTGGCCAAACTGGTTTCGAACTCCTGGCCTCAAGTGATTCGCCTGCCTCGGCCTCCCAAGGTGCTGGGATTACAGGCCTGAGCCACCGCGCCCGGCCAAGATATGCAATCCTAATGAGTTGTAATGGGAGTTCCTTTATCTTCCTTCCTTGATATTCACTCCACCTTAGCTCTCTTCCTTCGTTTATTTGCTCTTTATCCCATTTCCACCTTCCCACATTGCCTTTTCTCCTCCCGCATCCTTATGTTAAGGAATAGTCTTGGGGCAGCACATGAGACGGAAGGAGCTCTACAGAGCCCCGAATTCCGTGGCTGGATCAGCATCCTCGCAGCCCACACTGCTGTGCAGCAGTGCACCTGAGAAAGTTTGAGTTGAGGCCGGGCACAGTAGCTCACGCCTGTAATCCCAGCACTGTGGGAGGCTAAGGTAGGAGGATTGCTTGAGGCCAGGAGTTTGAGAGCAGCCTGGGCAACATGGCGAAACCCCATGTCTACTAAAAATACAAAAAAATTAGCCGGGTGTGGTGGCGGGTGCCTGTAATCCCAGCTACTCAGGAGGCTGAGGCAGGAGAATTACTTGACCTGGGCCTGGGGTTGGGGGGTGGAGGCTGCAGTGAGCTCAGATTGTGCCACTACACTCCAGCTTGGGCGACAGAGTGAGACTCCATCTCAAAGAAAACAAACAAACAAACAAAACCCTAGCCTCCAGATTTTCAGGGAGGCTGATTTGAGTAATAATAAAACTCTGATTGGCCAGGTGCAGTGGCTCATGCCTGTAATCCCAGCACTTTGGGAGGCCCAAGCGGGCAGATCACGAGGTCAGGAGTTCGAGACCAGCCTGGCCAATATGGTAAAACCCCATCTCTACTAAAAATACAAAAATTAGCCAGGCAGGGTGGCACACATATAGTCCCAGCTACTCGGGAGGCTGAGGCAGAAGAATCGTTTGAACCTGGGAGGCAGAGGTTTCATTGAGCCGAGATCGCGCCACTGCACTCCAGCCTGGGCGACAGAGCAAGACTCCGTCTCAAACAAACAAACAAACAAAAAAACTCTGGTCTCCCACTTACCTGGCTCAATGTGTATTAAACTCTTTTTTGCAATTCCTCTGTCTTGATGAATGGGCTTCATCCAGGCACCCGGCAAGAGCTGTAATGTAACTCATTACAGCAGTTACAATAGATGAAAAATAATTTACAGAGCTGAGGAAGCAGAGTGCTAGCACCCAGTAAGGCAGGAAACAAGATACTTTCAGAAGAATTCTAGCAGTCAATAAAAGACATGGGTAGACTTCGCATCCACGGCATAGAAGCAGGAGGCTGTGCAAACACCATGTTCTGAGGATGAGATAATTTTTTTTTTTAATTTGAAACTGGGTCTCACTATGTTGCCCAGGCTGGTCTCAAACTCCTGGGCTCAAGCAATTCTCCAGCCTCAGCCTCCCAAAGTGCTGGGATTACAGGCCTGAGCCACCGCACATGACTGAGAAAGAATTATTGAGAGTGAAATCACTAACACCAAGAAAAACCAAAACACGCCATGCACAGTGGTTCACACCTGCAATCCCAGCCCTTTGGGAGGCCGAGGTGAGTGGATCACCTGAGGCCAGGGGTTCAAGACCAGCCTGGTCAACATGGTCAGAACCCCATCTCTACTAAAAATACAAAAATTAGCCAGGCGTGGTGGTGGGCACATGTAATCCCAGCTACTCAAGTGGCTGAGGCAGGAGAATTGCTTAAACTCGGGAGGCAGAGGTTGCAGTGAGCTGAGATCGCACCACTGCACTCCACCCTGGGCAACAGAGCGAGACTCTGTCTCAAAAACAAAATGAAACAAAACAAAACAAAAAACCAAAACGCTAAGAGATGCAAAGACTGGTAGAAGGAATCTGGTGCTGGTAGATTCATAATTTTCAAAAACAGCCTAGAAATTTTCCAAGGATGTAGTATAACAAAAAGGCAAAGGAGGGCCGGGCACGGTGGCTCACACCTGTAATCCCAGCACTTTGGGAGGCCGAGGCAGGCAGATCACCTGAGGTCAGGAGTTCAAGACCAGCCTGGTCAACACGGTGAAACCTTCATCGCTACTAAAAATAGAAAAATTAGCCGGATGGGTGGTGCAGGCCTGTAATCCTAGCTACTTGGGAGGCTGAGGCAGGAGAATCACTTGAACCTGGAAGGTGGAGGTTGCAGTGAGCGAAGATCGCGCCATTGCACTCCATCCTGGCAACAGAGTGAGACTCCATTTCAAAAAAAAAAAAAAAAAAAAAAGGCAAAGGAGTGGAAATTGTGAAAGGGAGGTTTTTTTGTTGTTTTGTTGTTTTTGTTTTTGTTTTTTGTTTTTTGTTTTTGAGACAGAGTCTCACTCTATTGCCCAGGCTGGAGTGCAGTGGCAAGATCTTGGCTCACTGCAACCTCCGCCTCCCATGTTCAAGCAATTCTCCTGCCTCAGCCTCCCAAGTAGCTGGGTCTACAGGTGCATGCCATCATACCTGGCTAATTTTTTATTTTTAGTAGAGACGGGGTTTCACTATGTTGGCCAGGCTGGTCTCAAATCCTTGACCTCAGATGATCCATCCACCTCGGCCTCCCAAAGTGCTGGGATGACAGGCATGAGCCACCACGCCAGGCCAGAAAGGGAAGATTTTGTTAAGAGCGATGATATTGTAAGTAATGAAGAAATGAGATTCACAGAAGAACAAAACAATCTCTGATTAAAAACAACACACACAGTTCCTCAAAACCATACACGCCCTTACCTGTCACCAATATCTCAAGCTGATCACTGGGTTCTGAGGCCCAGAAGGGAGACTTTGTCTGGTAGTACATGCAGCTGTAGTTCCCAGCATCGCCGGCTGTCACGTCCACCAGAGAGAAGTCTATCTCCTTCCCCGCTGGACTCTGCAGCTGGATGGGTGATGGCGTCCCTGCCTTCAGTAGAGCGAACATGATAGGCACAAACAATTGGTCTCGCTTCTGGCACTGCAGAGTCACCCTTCCACCTGCGGTCACTGTACCCCTTTGGTAGGTTCGGAGGAAAGGTTTAGATAAATGTCCTGTAAGAGAAGTCAGGTTCTGAGGTCCTGGGGAGAAGTCTGGAATCCCCCACTCACCCCTGTTCTCCTGGCCGGAGGCTCTCGTGGAGTGTGGGAAATGAGAGATTCCTGATCTCTTCTACCTTCCTCCACTTCCTACTCCGACCCCAGGACAGAGATTCTCCCTCCTACAAGACCTGTGTAAGGCCTGGCATGGTGGCTCACACCTGTAATCCCAGCACTTTGGGAGGCCAAGGCGGGTGGATCACCTGAGGTCAGGAGTTCGAGACCAGCCTGCCCAACATGGCGAAACCCTGTCTCTACTAAAAATACAAAAATTAGCCGGGCATGGTGGCAGGCACCTGTAATCCCAGCTGCTCAGGAGGCTGGAGCAGGAGAATCACTTGAGCCCAGGAGGCGGAAGTTGCAGTGAGCCGAGATGGCACCACTGCACTCTGGCCTGGGCGACAAAGTATAAAACCAACATATGCAATTTCGTTCCTGTCTCTCTCCCTCTCCCATCACCCCCAACTACTCTGAAGGTGGGACCCCTTTTCTCCCTCTGTTCCTCCACTTCCTCCCTCATCCCCTGTCCCCCGTATGTCATTGGCAGGCACCCTGTCTGTACCTGTCACCAACAGTAGAAGGACGTCACTGCGCTGTGAAAGGATGTGGGGGGATGCTTTTCTGTAGTATTCACAGGTGTACTCTCCAGCATTTCTGACTTTTAGATTATTGAGGTGAAATTCGGCCGCGCCCTCTGTAGAATCAAGGGGCTTCGGGGACTCCAGAATAATTCCTCCCTTCCTGAGAACAAAGCTCACACCTCTGGCAGGAGTCCAACATCGCAGCGTCACATTGCTGTTGGCAGGGACCACCGAGCTGGGCCAGGCACTGAGGGACGGCTTGGGCAGTGACCCTGGAAGGAAGCAGAGCCTGATGCTGGACCCGATGCCCTCCCCTGCTCTCAGGAAGCCCTTTTTAAAATTTATTATTATTATTATTATTTTGAGATGGAGTCTCCCTCTGTTGCCCAGGCTAGAGTGCAGTGGTGCAATCTCAGTTCACTGCAACCTCCGTCTCCTGGGTTAAAGCAATTCTCCTGCCTCAGCCTCCCAAGTAGGTGGGATTACAGGCACGCACCACCACACCCAGCTAATTTTGTATTTTAGTAGAGACAAGGTTTCACCATGTTGGCCAGGCTGGTCTCGAACTCCTGACCTCAGGTGATCCACCCACCTTGGCCTCCCAAAGTGCTGGGATTACAGGCGTGAACCCCTGAGCCCAATCAGGAATCCCATTTTAAGAAGGGAAGCGGGCTGGGTGCGGTGGCTCACGCCTGTAATCCCAGCACCTTGGGAGGCCAAGGCAGGCAGATCACGAGGTCATGAGATCGAGACCATCCTGGCCAACATGGTGAAACTCCGTCTCTACTAAAAATACAAAAATTAGCTGGGCGTGGTGGCAAGCACCCGTAGTCCCAGCTACTTGGGAGGCTGAGACAGGAGAATCACTTGAGCCCAGGAGGCGGAGGTTGCTGTAAGCCGAGATTGCACCACCGCACTCCAGCCTGGCGAAAGAGTGAGACTCCGTCAAAAAAAAAAGAGAAAAAGAGGGGGAAGGGGAAGAGAACAGCAGGGGATTTGGGATGACAGGCCAAGGAGGGTGTAGTTGAAGAAACACTCACCATCTCCCCTTGTGTCTCCTTGGCCCACGCACAGTCCTGCAAGACAATCCTCCGTGAGCCAGAAGCCCCTACCTGGAGCCACGTCACCCCCTGCCCTGACCCCTGGAGATCGTCCCAGAGTCTCCTGCTGAGAACAGACCCTTAGAGGTCATACGCTCAGGAGTTCTCATTCTCCCCACACTGGACTGTGGCTTCTGCTCGACTTCCAGCTCCTCCATCCTTTCCCAGCGATTCTCCTTGACCATCCTGTGTGGCTGTCACCTCCCCCTGCTCCAGGCCTTTCCCACAAATCCTTCCATTCTCATCTTCTGTTTGAAAACAGCACTCATTCTTACCATTTCTTTCTTTCTTTCTTTTTCTTTCCTTTCTTTCTTTCTTTTTTCTTTCTTTCATTCATTCTTTCTTTCATTCATTCCAGAGACAGAGTCTCGCTCTTTCTTTCTTTTTCTTTCTTTCTTTCTTTCATTCATTCTTTCTTTCTTTCATTCATTCTTTCTTTCTTTCATTCATTCCAGAGACAGAGTTGCGCTCTGTCGCCCAGGCTGGAGTAGAGTGACGCAATCTCGGCTCACTGCAACCTCCGCCTCCCGGGTTCAAGTGATTCTCCTGCCTCAGCCTCCCAAATAGCTGGGATCACAGGCATGCGCCAGGACGCCCGGCTGAGTTTTGTATTATTAGTAGAGACAGGGTTTCACCATATTGGCCAGGCTGGTCTCGAACTCCTGACCTCAGGTGATCCACCCACCTCGGCCTCCCAAAGTGCCGGGATTACAGGCATGAGCTTTGTGCCCAGCTTCTTTTTATTTTTTAATTTTTCATTTTATTATTGTGTTTTGAGACAGGGTCTCTCTCTGTTGCCCAGGTTGGAGTGCAGTGGCTCCATCATGGCTCACTGTAGCCTCCCAGGCTCAAGTGATCCTCCCACCTCAGCCTCCCGAGTAGCTGGGATCACAGGTGTGCACCACCACACCCGGCTAATTTTTTAGTCTTTCCCAGAGACAGAGTCTCCCTATGTTGCCCAGGCTCATGATCTCTTTTAATCCCTTCATGACTCCAAACAGGACAAAATTTATTGTTTGGTGTCCTGTAACAAGCCTCAAAACATCCAAATGGTCATTCCAGAAAGGGGAAAGCATACGTTCCTCCCTGTTTCACACATGGCTGCATTTGCTCTTCCTCCTTTTTAATTTTTTTTGATAGAGACAGGGCTGGGCTGGTTAAGAACTCTTGACCATGCCGGGCGCGGTGGCTCCCGCCTGTAATCCCAGCACTTTGGGAGGCCGAGGCAGGTGGATCACGAGGTCAGGAGTTGAAGACCAGCCTGGCCAACATGGTGAAACCCCGTCTATACTAAAAATACAAAAATTAGCCAGGTGTGGTGATGGGCGCCTGTGATCCCAGCTACTCAGGAGGCTGAGGCAGAGAATCGCTTGAACCCAGGAGGCAGAGTTTGCAATGAGCTGAGATCGCACCACTGCACTCCAGCCTGGCCACAGCGCGAGACTCAGTTTCAGGAAAGAAAAAAAAAAGAGAAAGAAAAGAAAAAACATAATATCAAGCCTGTTTATGAACATTATCATAATAATGAGATTGATCTAACTCAAAGAAAGTTAGTTAGGCCTGTGTCTCTGAGAGATTTCCTCTTTTTCCCCTGTGTGAACAGTTTTAGGTCTCAGCAGGAAAAAGGAGAAGTTACCAGGCGTTTGTGCTACTATTACATCCATGAGCCAATCCATAAACTGACACTTCAAGTTTTGCAAAAGGAAATTGTGAACACCCAAAATGTTCAAACAACGTAAGTGTCCATCCATGGAAGAATGGATAAACACAGTGTGCTCTATATATTCAATGGGATTTTTCTTCTTTTTCTTCGTTTTTTTTTTTTTTTTTTTTGAGACATAGTTTCATTCTTGTTGCCCAGGCTGGAGTGCAATGGCGCGATCTCGGCTCACTGCAACCTCCGCCTCGCGGGTTCAAGTGATTCTCCTGCCTCAGCCTCCCAAGTAGCTGGGATTACAGCTCACTGCAACCTCCGCCTTGCAGGTTCAAGTGATTCTCCTGCCTCAGCCTCCCAAGTAGCTGGGATTACAGCTCACTGCAACCTCCGCCTTGTGGGTTCAAGTGATTCTCCTGCCTCAGCCTCCCAAGTAGCTGGGATTACAGGCATGCACCACCATGCCCAGCTAATTTTGTATTTTTTAGTAGAGACAGGGTTTCACCATGTTGGTCAGGCTGGTCTTGAACTCCCCACCTCAGGTGATCCGCCCATCTTAGCCTCCAAAATGCTTTTTTCTTTTTCTTTTCTTTCTTTCTTTTTTTTTTTTTTTTTTTTTTGAGGCAGGGTCTCGCTCTGCTGCCCAGGCTGGAGTGCAATGATGTGATCCTAGTTCATTCCAGCATCAACTCCCTGGGCTCAGGTGATCCTCCCACCTCTGCCTCCCGAGTAGCTGGGACTACAGCTGCACACCACCATGCCCAGCTCATTTTTGTTGTTGTTGTTGTTTTTAATATTTATTTATTTATTTTGAGATGGAGTTTCGCTCTTGTTGCCCAGACTGGAGTGCAATGGCATGATCTCGGCTCACTGCAACCTCTGACTCCTGGGTTCAAGCGATTCTCTTGCCTCAGCCTCCCAAGTAGCTGGGATTACAGGCGCCCGCCACCACGCATGGCTAATTTTTATATTTTTAGTAGAAATGGGGTTTCACCCTATTGGCCAGGCTGTTCTCGAACTCCTTACGTCAGGTCATTGCAAAAAAAGTGCTGGGATTACAGGCGTGAGCCACCATGCCCAGCCTCATTTTTGTATTTTTTGTAGAGACAGGGTTTCACCATGTTGCCCAGGCTAGTCTCGAACTCCTGGGCTCAAGCGATCTGCCTGCCTCAGACTCTCAAAGTGCTGGGATTACAGGTGTGAGACACTGTGCTCGGCCTACAGTGGGATTTTAGCCATAAAAAGGAAAGGAAATCTGACATATCCTACAATATAGATGTAGCTCGAGGATATTATGCTGAGTAAACTAAGTCAGGCAAAAAAGAACAAGTGTTATGATTCCACTCATACATCCTAGAATAAGCAAATTCATAGAGATAAAAATTAGAATGGGCTGGACACGGTGGCTCACGCCTGTAATCCCAGCACTTTGGGAGGCCGAGACAGGCAGATCACAAAGTCAGGAGATCGAGACCAGCCTGGTCAACATGGTGAAACCTTGTCTCTACTAAAAAAAAAAAAAAAAAAAACTTAGCCAGGCATGGTGGTGAGCGCCAGTGATCCCAGCTACTCGGGAGGGAGAGGCAGGAGAATCGCTTGAACCCAGGAGGCGGAGGTTGCAGTGAGCTGAGATTAGGCCACTGTACTCCAGCCTGGGTGACGAAGCAAGACTCCATCTCCGAAAAAAAAAAAAAAAAAAAGAAATTAGAATGGAGGTTACCAGGGGCTGGGAGGACCGCGGCAAATACAGAGTTATTGGTTAGAGGGTGTAGCGTTCATATTGGGAATTGTGATTGTTAATTTGATTTATCAGCTAGACCAGGCCACAGGATGCTGGGATATCTGGTTAAACATTATTTCTGGGCGTGTCTGTGAGGGTGTTTTTAGAAAGATCAGCATTTGAATCTAATGCTGAGTCGGGCAGGTTGGCCTTCCTAATGGAGGTGGGTATTCTGCTGAGGGCCAGGATGGGAGAAAAAGGTGGCAGAGCCACCACAGTGGCTCACGCCTGTAATCCCAGCACTTTGGGAGGCCAAGGCAGAAGGGCTGCTTGAGGCCAGGAGTTTGAGACCAGCCTGAGTAACATAGTGAGATCCCGTCTCTACAAAAAATTTAAAAATTACACGGGGCACTGTGGCTCACGCCTGTAATCCCAGCACTTTGGGAGGCTGAGGCTGAGGCGGGCAGATCACCTGAGGTGATCACCTGAGGGAGCTCAAGACCAGCCTGGCCAACATGATGAAACCCCGTCTCTACTAAAAAGTACAAAAAATCAGCCGGGTGTGTGGTGGGCACCTGTAATCTCAGCTACCCAGGAGGCTGAGGCAGGAGAATTGCTTGAGCCCAGGAGGTGGAGGCTGCAGTGAGCTGTGGTCATACCACTGCACTCCAGCCTGGGTACAGAGTGAGACTTTGTCTCAAAAAAAGGAAAAGGAGGGAAGGAAGGAAGGAAGTAAGGAAGGAAGGAAGGAAGGGAAAGAGAGAGAGGAAGGAAGGAATGAAGGAGAAAGAGAAAGAAAGAAAGGAAGGAAGGAAGAAAGAAAGAAAGAAAGAAAGAAAGAAAGAAAGAAAGAAAGAAAGAAAGAAAGAAAGAAAGAAAGAAAGCAAGCAAGCAAGCAAGCAGGCAAGCAAGCGGGGGCTCACGCCTGTAATCCCAGCACTTTGGGAGGCCGAGGCGGGCAGATCAAGAAGTCAGGAGATGGAGACCATCCTGGCTAACACAGTGAAACCTACGAAAAAAGCCGGGCATGGTGGCGGGCGCCTGTAGTCCCAGCTACTCGGGAGGCTGAGGCAGGAGAATGGCGTGAACCCGGGAGGCGGAGCTTGCAGTGAGCAGAGATCGCACCACTGCACTCCAGCCTGGGCGACAGAGCGAGACTCCATCTCAAAAAAAAAAAAAAGAAAGAAAGAGAGAGAGAGGAAGGAAGGGAGGAAGGAAGGAAGGAAGGAAGGAAGGAAGGAAGGGAAGGAGAAAAAGAAAGAAAGGAAGGAAGGAAGGAAGAAAGAAAGAGGTTTTAGTGTAGATAGTGGTGATGGTTACACAGCGGCCTCAATTTACTTTATAGTTATCTATTTGACACTAAATTTTTATTTATGGTATTAAGGTTTCTGGGCCAGGCACAGTGGCTCACATCTGTAATCCCAGCACTTTGAGAGACTGAGGTGGGCAGATCACCTGAGGTCGGGAGTTCGAGACCAGCCTGGCCAACATGGTGAAACACTGTCTCTACTAAAAATACAAAAATTAACCAGGCATGGTGGCGCACCCCTGTAATCCAGTTACTCAGGAGGCTGAAGCAGGAGAATCGCTTGAACCCGGGAGGCAGAGGTTGTGGTGAGCCGAGATCATGCCATTGCACTACAGCCTGGGCAACAAGAGCAAAACTCTGTCTCAAAAAAATAAAATAAAATAAAATAAAATAAGGTTTCTATTCTGAATACTTTTACTTACACACAAAAAGTCAGAGTTGATCCTGAGAAAAGGGGTAAGCCAATGAAGCCAGGTGGTGGAGGCATTCAGCAAAACTCACGAAGTTGAAACTACAGGAGTTGAAGTTTGCAGAGCACTCGTTTCCAGGGAATGTCTGCACTGCACTCAGCAGGACGTCTCACTCCTCCCGTGTGCTCAGTAAGCCAAAGTTGATGTTATTATTTCCATCCCCAGCCCAACTATCCCACCAGTTCCATGATTTTCTGCAGTCCCAGTGGATAGCCCTGTGAGACTTACTGAAACAGAGGAGGGAAAGCAGCTTAGGGATCATGATGGCTCCTTAGCCCTCCCAGAGTCCGTCTTGGGTTCTGCAGTCCACAGATGGGAGAAGAGCTGGAGTCGTCGCTGCCTCTCTCCCACCCCAGAGTGTGGGCAGTAACAGCCTTTCCTAGCCTTTCAGTTTCCCCTCCCATATCCACATTCAGGAAACATGTTGATGTTGCTGATTGCAACATGCTCCTTACACACACCAGTGTTCGAGCACTTGACTCACAGGAAATGCTCCTCTGTCTCAGGCAGATTTCAGGCATCAAACAGGTAACCCCGAAAATGCTTCAGACTTGGCCCTGAAGGGTTCGTATTGAAGAGATGAAAGCACTTCACTCTTTTTTTTTTTTTTGAGATGGTGTCTGGTTCTGTTACCTGGGCTGGAGTCCAGTGGCACGATCTCAGGTCATTGCAACTTCAGCCTCCTGGGTTCAAGCAATTCTCCGGCCTCAGCCTCCCAAGTAGCTGGGATTATAGGCGCATGCCACCATGCCCGGCTAATGTTTGTATTTTTAGTTAAGATGAGGTTTCACAAGTTAGCTGGGCTAGTCTTGAACTCCTCGCCTCAAGTGATCCACCTGCCTCGGCCTCCCAAACTGCTGGGATTACAGGCATGAGCCACTGTGCCAGGCCTTCATCACCATTTTTTTTTTTTCTTTTGAGACAGAGTTCCACTCTTTCGCCCAGGCTGGAGTGAAGTGGCAAAATCTCATCTCATTGCAACCTCCACCCCCCAGGTTCAAGCGGTTCTCCTGCCTCAGCCTCCCAAGTAGCTGGGATTACAGGAGCCCTTCAACATGCCCAGTTAATTTTTGTATTTTTTAGTAGAGATGAGGTTTCACCATGTTGGCCAGGCTGGTCTCAAACTCCTGATCTCAAGTGATCCACCCACCTCAGCCTCCCAAAGTGCTGGGATTACAGGCATGAGCCACTGTGCCCAGCCAGTCATGAGCTCATTTTTTAAGTTCAGAATATTTCAGTACATATCTATCTTTATCAAATAAGAACCATTTTAAAAATAATATAAGCACCACAGCACTGTCACATCAAGAAAGTTAAGAGTACCTCCTTGATACCAGCTAATACCCATTCAGTACTCAAATTTCCCTGATTGTCTCAAAAATGTCATTTCTATCAGGTTTTTAAAGAATAAATCAGGATCCAATAAAAGTCTACAGATTGCATTTGATAATTATGTTAATTTAGCCTGGCGCAGTGGCTCATGCCTGTAATCCCAACACTTTGGGAGACCGGGGCAGGTAGATAACCTGAGGTCAGGAGTTCGAGACCAGCCTGGCCAACCATGGTGAAACCTCATCTCTACTAAAAATACAAAAATTAGCTGGGCGTGGTGGTGCACGCCTGTAATCCCAGCTACTCAGGAGGCTGAGGCAGGAGAACTGCTTGAACCTGGGAGGCAAAGGTTGCAGTGAGCTGAGATCGCACCATTGCACTCCAGCCTGGGCAACAGAGTGAGACTCAGTCTCAAAAAAAAAAAAAAAAATGTTAATTTGAATCAGACAAAATTTTTTATTTTTTTGTTAAAATAAGAAATCAAGCAAGTTAGTTTTTAACCATGTTTTTTTTCATCTTGCATTTGGAAGAAGAGCAAAATGCCCCGAAGTCTCGTTTTTGTTTTCGGATTTTTTGTCTTGATAGCACCTACTCTTCTTACTGTTTTGGAACATAGAAAAGTCAACAAGGCAACAAATTATAAGGAGTAAAACCAACTATAATTACAGGTGTTTCTTTGAAAGTTATTTTCACAAGATGTGGCAATGATTTTTAAAGGCTTGGGACTCTTACAAGACCCTTTTGTTCAAATAACAGTTTTGTGTATGAATTTATTTCAACAGAGAACAATTTAGTAATGTTTGTGAATATTCATTTAGTTCTCCATATTGTACCAGAAAACAAGACTGATATTCTTGTGAATCTTCTCAATTCAACTCTTTATCAAATCAGATTCCTTAAATTAGTGTTGTGACTCAGAAAAAATCTTTCTCCTTATGCAGTATCAGGGAAAAGAGGACATCTCCTATATTTCTTCTTAACATCTCTGTTGCTAACAAGGAATATGCATATTTTAAAACTAGGCTCTGGAATTTTATCAGTCAACAGGAAAGGCCTGGTAAAGTTCCATTCCACTTGGAAATGAAGAAAGGAGACCCTGATTCAAAAAACGAAAAAAGAAAGAATAAAGAATAGCTTAGGGCCAGGCAAGGTGGATCACACCTGTAATCCTAAGATTTTGGGAGGTGAGGTAGGTGGAAGGCTTGATCCCAGGAGTTCAACACCAGCCTGGGCAACATGGCCTAATCCCATCTCTACAAAAAATACAAAAATTAGCCAGGCTTGGTGGTATATACCTGTAATCCCAGCTTCTCAGGAGGCTGAGGTGGGAGAATCACTTGAACCTGGGAGGGGGAGGTGGCAGTGAGCTGAGATCGCACCATTGTACCCCAGCCTGGGCAACAAGAGTGAAACTCCATCTCAAAAAATAATAATAAAATAAATAAATAAATAATCATTCACTTTGTTAGGTGTTTATCACACCTAACCTTAAGAATATGTTACCAAAATAAAAAGTCTTATAGATGAAATCATATTATATCTGAGGTTTACTTTAAAATACTCCAGGAGAAAATTTAAAATAGACTTGGGGGAGGGGACTTATCTGTAGTTATCTGCACATAATCTACATGATTATCTCAAAGCCATCCTTTTGCTGTTGAGAATTCTGATTTTTAGCTGGGCCCATTGGCACCCAGGTAAAAAACTACATTCTTCAGTGTCACTTACAGGTAGATGTAGCCGTAAGTCTTCATCTAGGACAATGATAAATAAGCATAAATATTGTAGACAGCTTCCAAAAGGTTCTTTAATGAAGTACACTTTCCTTCCTTCACTTAACTGCCTAAAATGTGGATGTGATGACTGGTATTCTAGCGTCATCTTGAACCATGAAGATGAGATGAGGTTCAAGATGGTGGAGGGTGAGCCAGAAGTAACTTAGGTCCATAATGCTTTTTGGAGTCACTGTGCCAGCCTTGGACTGCTCCCTTCAGATTTATTCTACATAAGGGAGAAATCAATTGGTATTAGTTTTAAGTCATCATTATTTAGTTCTCTTTTGGGTTTAGGTTATCAATTACTGTGTTAACAAACCACCCCAAAACTGAGTAACTTAGAGTAACAATCTTGTTTTTTTTTTTTTTTAATCATTCCTGATCTGGTGAGATGACTGGGCTCAGTTGAGCGGTTCTTCGGTTCAATGTGATGTCTTCCTGGGCTTCAGTCATCAGGGTGGCTCAACTGAGCTGGAATCTCCAAGATGGCACTTGCAAATGGCTGGCTGTTGATGCTGGATGTTGGTTGAAAGCTCGGCTAGGACTGTTGAATGATGTACCTGCACATGGCCTCTCCATTTGATTCAGACTTCTTGGAGGATAGCATCTGGGTTTCAAGAGGGGATGTCACAAGAGAGCTTTCTAAAATAGAGAAGGCGGCTGGGCATGGTGGCTCACGTCTGTAATCCCAGCACTTTGGGAGGCCGAGGTGGGTGGATCACCTGAGGTCAGGAGTTCAACATCAGCCTGGCCAACATGGTAAAACCCCGTCTCTACTAAAAACAAAATTAAAAAAAATTAGCCGGGTGTGTTTGTGCACACCTGTAATCCCAGCTACTCAGGAGGCCGAGGCAGGAGAATTGCTTGAACCTGGGAGGCGGAAGTTGCAGTGAGCCGAGATCACACCACTGCACTCCAGCCTGGGCAACAGAATGAGACTCTGTCTCAAATAAATAAATAAATAAATAAAATAAAGAAGGCAAAAGTTGTTTGTCCCTTTAAAGACTAAGCCTGGAACTGACACAGTTTCTCTTCTTCTACAGTCTTAAGGAAAGGCCAGATTCAAGGGGAGGGAAAATAAACTCTACCTCTCTATAGGGACAGTGACAAAGAATTGGAGGCCATCTTTAGTCTGTCATGTGTTATGGTCAATGGAAATAGATATATATATATTTACTGAGTGCCTGAGTCCCACCGAGAGATTTTAATTATTTTTTTATTTTTGTTTTTTTAAGATGGAATTTTGCTCTTGTTGCCCAGGCTGAAGTGCAATGGCATGATCTCAGCTCACTGCAACCTCTGCCTCCCGGGTTCAAGCGATTCTCCTGCCTCAGCCTCCCAAGTAGCTCGGATTACAGGCAAGTGCCACCACACCCAGTTAATTTTGTATTTTTTAGTAGAGATGGGATTTCTCCATGTTGGTCAGGCTGGTCTTGAACTCTTGACCTCAGGTGATCTGCCCACCTTGGCCTCCCAAAGTGCTGGGATTACAGGTGTGAGCCACCGTGCCCAGTCGAGATTTTAATTTTTATAATGGGTATAGGATGAGGCCTGGGTGTCTCATTCTGTGTTTTAAATGTTCCTGGGAAATTCTAATGTGCAGTCAAGTTTGAGAACCACTGGGTTGGAACACATAACCTCCTTCCCATCTCAGACCCTGAAACATCCTGAAAACTCCTGTATCTGGAGTTTTTCCCCCATTTTTGCTTGGCTAACTTTGACTCTTCCCTCAGAAACCAGCTTCAGAATCTTTTCTTTAGCAAAGACTTCCCTGCAAGTTCTTTAACAGCACTTATCTCAGCTGTGACAAAATCATCAATGGTGTAATTGTGTCTTTTTAATGTCTTTTCCCCTATTCTTCATAATCGTCAAAGTAAAGGATAGCTCTTCTCTCAGTCAGAACTATTAATAGATGCTGTAATGGAAATGAAACAAGACTCTCAGACTCTTGTTAAAGTAAGAAGTCTAGCAGAGTCTCAGGCTTTAATTTTTTTTTTCCGATCATAAATGTGGGAGAAAGATCATTTAACCTGCTGCTAAGGTTTGAATATTTGTTCCCTTGAAAACTCATGTTGAACCAGCCTGGGCAACATAGGGAGACCCTGTCTCTACAAATAATTTAAAAATTAGCCAGGTGAGGTGGCACATGCCTGTGATCCCAGCTACTCAGGAGGCTGAAGTGGGAGGATCACCTGAGCCCAGAAAGCTGAGGATGCAGTGAACCGTGATTGCACCACTGCACTCCAGCCTGTGCAACACAGTGAGACCCTGTCTCAAAAAATAAATAGGTAAATAAGCTGAGTGTGGTGGCTCACACCTGTAATCTCAGCACTTTAGGAAGCCAAGGTGGGCAGATCACATGAGGTCAGGAGTTTGAGACTAGCTGGCCAACATGATGAAACCCTGTCTCTACTAAAAATACAAAAATTACCCGGGCATGGTGGCACGTGCCTGTAATACCAGCTACTCAGGAGGCTGAGGCAGGAGAATCACTTGAACCTGGGAGGTGGAGGTTATAATGAGCTGAGATCATGCCACTGCTGTCCAGCCTGGGTGACATAGCAAGACATTGTCTCAAAAAATACATAAATAAATAATAAATAAATAAACTTATGGTGAAACTGAATCCCTAATGTGGCCGTATTGATAGGTCGGGCATTTAAGAGGTGATTGGGTCATGAGGACTCTTTTCTCATGAATGAACTAATCCATTCATGGATTAATGGATTAGTGAGTTAATGGATTAATGGGTTACCCTGGGAGTGAGACTGGTGGCTTTATCAGAAGAGGAAGAGAGACTTAAGTAGCACGCTCAGCTCTTTTGCCCTGTGATGCCCTGTGCCACCTCGGAACCCTCCAGAGAGTCCCCAACAGCAAGAAGGTCCTCACCAGATGCAGCCCCTCCACCTTGGACTTTCCAACCTCCATTAACTACAGGAAATAAATTCCTTTTCTTTATAAGTTATCTGGCTTCAAGTGTTCTGTTCTAAGCAACAGAATACAGACTAAGACACAGACACCAATGCATAGCTTCTGATTTAACAGAATTGTTTTTACAAGCATTTATTCTGCTTGGAAATTCAGATGTCAATCATAAGATTGTTACCAGGGCAACAAAATATTAAGTAAGACCACCAAATGGCACCAAGGTTTCTCCTTCAAAATAATGATTGCAATACTGGCAATAATTTCTAATGTCTTTGGACTCCTACAAGATTATTTTGTGCAAATTACACTTCAAAGCACAGATTTATGGAACCACAGAATGGAACACTGGCTGCTGTAATAAATATCCATAGATCTCCATACTACATAAGACTATAAAACACATTTAGAGCCTTTTTAATATTCTCAGTTTATTAACTTATCAATCCACATTCCATTTTTTTGTTTGTTTGTTTTGTTTTGTTTTTTTACTTTAAGTTCTAGGGTACATGTGCATAATGTACAGGTTTGATACATGTGCCATGTTGGTTTGCTCCACCCATCAAGTTATCATTTACATTAGGTATTTCTCCTAATGCTATCCCTCCCCCAGCCCCCCACCCCACTCTGTTTTTTTTTTTTTTGTTTTTTTTTTTTTAAGACAGGGTCTCACTGTGTCACCCAGGTTGGAGTGCAGTGGTGTGATCTCGACTCACTGCAACCTCTGCCTCTCGGGTTCAAGTGATTCTCTTGCCCCAGCCCTCCCAAGTACAAGGAATTACAGGGTTGTGCCACCACGCCGGGCTAATTTTTGTACTTTTAGTAGAGACAGTGTTTTGCCATGTTGGCCAGGGCTGGTCTCGAACTTCTGGGCCCAAGTGATCCGCCTGCCTCGACCTCCCAAAGTTCTGGGATTACAGGTGTGAACCACCATGCCTCGCCTAAACTACATTCTTGAATTAGTTTTATGGCACAGAATATCTTTTTCTCCTCTCTCAATGCCCTCTCTCTCTCTAGCTCCCTCTCCTCCCCTACAGCTGCAAAGAAGAGATCTTCTTAATCCATTTCTTAAACTTCTTTTGATCAATTATAAAGAATTTTTTTTTTTAGATGGAGTCTCACTCTGTCACCCAGGATGGAGTGCAATGGCACAATCTCAGCTCACTGCAACCTCTGCCTCCCGGGTTCAAGTGATTCTCCTGCCTCAGCCTCCCAAGTAGCTGGGACTACAGGCATGTGCCACTACGCCCGGCTACTTTTTTTTTTTTTTGTATTTTTAGTAGAGACGGGGTTTCACCATGTTAGCCAGGATGGTCTCGATCTCCTGACCTCATGATCCGCCCACCTCAGCCTTCCAAAGTGCTGGGACTACAGGCGTGTGCCACTACACCCGGCTACTTTTGTGTGTGTGTGTGTGTGTGTTTAGTAGAGACGGAGTTTCACCATGTTAGCCAAGATGGTCTCGATCTCCGGACCTTGTGATCCACCCGCCTCAGCCTCCCAAAGTGCTGGGATTACAGGTGTAAGCCACTGTGCCCGGCCAATTATAAATATTTTTTAAGGCTAAACTCTGGAATTTTGCTAGTTAGCCTTAAAAGCACAAAGCAGGCCTATAAAGTTCAATTTTACTGGTAGAAAGCAAGAAATGGATGAATAGGATGTTCGCTGACAACCATGCAATTGAAACCTCCTTTGCAAAAATTACGAGAGTGAGCAAACGATGGCAGTGAAGGAGATCGGATCTGGCCAGCCCCTACCTTGCCTTTGGCCCTCAAACTGCTTGTAGTTATTCCTGGGTTTAGGCTAATCTGACTTGTCTCTTTGGGAGACATTTATTTTATTTTCTTTTATATTTCCTTGAGACGGAGTCTCGCTCTGTAGCCCGGGCTGGAGTGCAGTGGTGAGATCTCGGTTCACCGCAACCTCTGCATCCTAGTTCAAGGGATTCTCCTGCCTCAGCCTCCAGAGTAGCTGGAATTACAGGTGCCTGCCACCATGCCCGATTAATTTTTGTATTTTTAGTAGAGACGAGGTTTCACCATGTTGGCCAGGCTGGTCTGAAACTCCTGACCTCAAGAGATCCGCCCGCCTTGGCCTCCCAAAGTGCTGGGATTAGAGGAAAGAAGGAAAGGAAGGAAAAGAAAGGAAAAGAGAGGAGAGGAGAGGGGAGGGGAGGGGAAGGGAGAGAAAGGAAAGGAAAGGGAGAGAAAGGGAAGAGAGAAAGAAAGAAGAAAAGAGAGAAAGAAAGAAAGAAAGAAAGAAAGAAAAATAAAGAAAGAAGAAAAAAGAAAAGAGAAAAGGAAGGAGGGAGGGAGGGAGGCAAGGAAGGAAGGAAGCAAGAAAGAGAGAAAGAGAGAAAAGAGGCTCCTTATAAATAACAAAAGACACCCTTCTCACCAAGGGTTTTTGGAAATTCCAGAGTGATGGGGTGAGAAGGGTGTCTTTGGAACCAAAGCTGAAGACCAAGTACATATTTCTTACTATATCACGGTATCACGGGAGGTAAAACGGAGGTGGCCTTGAAGCAGCTCCTCCCCAGCCCCCAATCCTCTTGTGTGCCCGGAGGATCAGAAGAGGTCCCGCCGAGACTCAGCTTAGCTGTGGTTCAAGCCTCTGATTGCGTGGATAAGTACCAGGTTTCCAGAGTGCCAGGGCGGGGCTGCCCCTTGCGGTGGCATTAACTTTCCATGGCTATTTAAAATCAGCAGAGGACACACGATCTTCAGATGGGTCCTGTTTTACTTCCATATTTTCTCCTAGAGAGAAGAAAAATCATTAAACTTTTTTTTGTTTGTTTTTTGTTTTTTTGTTTTATTCGTTGTTTTTTTTTTTTTTTTTTTTTTTTGAGACGGAGTCTCGCTCTGTGGCCCAGGCTGGAGTGCAATGGCGTGTATCAGCTCACTGCAACCTCTGCCTCCAGGGTTCAAGTGATTCTCCTGCCTCAGCCTCCCGAGTAGCTGGGATTACAGCTTTGTATTTTTAGTAGAGTCGGGGTTTCACTATATTGGCCAGGGTGGTCTCCAACTCCTGACCTCAGGTGATCTGCCTGCCTTGGCCTCCCAAAGTGCTGGGATTACAGGCGTGAACCACCGCACCTGGCCTACTGTATTTTTTTTTTTTTTTTTGAATAGAGAAGGGAGTCTCAAACTCTTGGCCTCAAGCCATCCTCCTGCCTCAGTTTCCCAAAATGCTGGGATTATGAGTGAGCCACTGCACCTATCCCACCCCCTCCCACCCTCATTTTTAGAAGGGCACAGGCTAGAGACCATATTTCCATCAGTCACTTTTGCGGCTAGACCTGTCCATGAGACTAAGTTCTAGCCAATGGGATGCGATAGGAAGATACATGCTCAAATTCTAGGTCCTGCTCTTAAAAAATAATTGTGTGGGCCGGGCGCAGTGGCTCACGCCTGTAATCCCAGTACTTTGGGAGGCTGAGGCAGGCGGATCACGAGGTCAGGAAATCGAGACCATCCTGGATAACACGGTGAAACCCCGTCTCTACTAAAAATACAAAAAAATTTAGCCGGGTGTGGTGGTGGACGCCTGTAGTCCCAGCTACTTGGGAGGCTGAGGCAGGAGAATGGCGTGAACCCGGGAGGCGGAGCTTGCAGTGAGCCGAGATCGCGCCACTGCACTCCAGCCTGGGCGACAGAGCAAGACTCCAACTCGGAAAAAAAAAAAAATAATAATTGTGTGAGCCCTTTTCTCTCTGTCCTCTCCTCTTTCTTGGGGCTCAGAACCAGAAATTAAAGCTACATGTTGATAAAAGCAAAACCATCCCACCTTAACAAGTAAATCGTTGAGATTGCCCAGTGATTTACTGTTAAGTGAGAGAGAGGTACATTTATATCTAGTTTTTTTCCGGTGGTGAAGGAGATTCTTTTTTTCTCTCTCTCTCTCTTTTTTATGAGATGGAGCTTGGCTCTTGTTGCCCAGGCTGGAGTGCAATGGCACGACCTCGGCTCAGTGAAACCTCCGCCTCCCGGGTTCAAGTGATTCTCCTGCCTCAGCCTCCCGAGTAGCTGGGATTACAGGCATGCACCACCACACCAGGCTAATTTTTTGTATTTAGTAGAGACAGGGTTTCACCATGTTAATCAGGCTGCTCTCGAACTCCTGACCTCAGGTGATCCACCTGCCTTGGCCTCCCAAAGTGCTAGGATTACAGGTGTGCGCCACTGCACCTGGCCGGGAGATTCTTTTTTACAACAGCTTAAAGTGCTCTGTAACCAATACACTATGCAGTGATTTGGTTAATACTTTGTGAGTTCCATGAGTGCAGGGTTTATGTCTGCTATTGCTCCCCACTGGACCGCCGGACTCTAGCACAATGCCATGCACGGTAGACATTGAATACATGAGTGATACGAGGATGAATGAGACTAGGGGAAATCAGTGGAAGCCCTAGGCCTGGCACAGTGACTCACTCCTGGAATCCCAGCACTTTGGGAGGCCAAGGAAGGAGGATGGCTTGAGGCCAGGCATTCAAGACCAGCCTGGACAACATGGTGAGATCCCATAGCTATAAAAAGTAAACAATTAGCCGGGCGCGGTGGCTCACGCCTGTAATTCCAGCACTTTGGGAGGCCGAGGGGGGTGGATCACGAGGTCAATAGATCGAGACCATCCTGGCCAACATGGTGAAACCCCATCTCTACTAAAAATACAAAAGTTAGCTGGGCATGGTGGTGGCACACGCCTGTAATCCCAGCGACTCGGGAGGGCGAGGCAGGAGAATCACTTGAACCCAAGAGGCGGAGGTTGCAGTGAGCCGAGATCGCGTCATTGCACTACAGCCTGGCAACAGAGCGAGACTCCATCTCAAAAAAAAAATAATAATAATAGTAATAATAAATTGGCCAGGCGTGGTGATGGCAGTGTTGTCATTGCTTTAAGAGGCAGGAACAGGGGGAAAAGACCCAGCAGTCTAACCACACAGACAAGTCCCAAGTTAGGCACTTCTGTGTGTCTTGGGGGCTGTTGATCAGAAATAACCTATGTGGATCACCCAGCAAAATGACCAGTATGAAAAGATGTTCAGTGGTAGAAAATGAAATAAGCATTGTGACTACAACTCACTCAATAAGCATTCATTGAACACTGGTCACTGGTAAACTGCTATGAAGAAATCTCAGCTGGGTGCGGTGGCTCACGCTTGTAATCCCAGCACTTTAAAGGGAGACCAAGGTGGGCAGATGGATCACTTTAGGTCAAGCGTTCGAGAACAGCCTGGCCAACATGGTGAAACCCCATCTCTACTAAAAACACAAAATTAGCCGGGCATGGTGGCAGGTGCCTGTAATCCCAGCTACTTGGGAGGCTGAGGCAGGAGAATCGTTTGAACCCGGGAGGTGGAGATTGTAGTGAGCTGAGATCACAACACTGCACTCCAACCTGGGAAACAGAGCAAGACTCCATCTCAAAAAGAAAAAAAATCTCAAGCTTATTGGATAGATAAATGCACAGGTAGATAGATGGATATTGAATGAATAAATAGTTCAGTGGATTAAAAACTGGTTAATGAAGAAATGGATGGGTAAATGGATGGAAATATGAATGAATGCATGATGGATAAGGACAAATGAAATAGACAAATGTACAAATGAAAGCAAAGGAAAAAGAGATGCTCAATAGAAATGAATAAGGATGAGAATCAATGCTAGACATGAATGAGTGAATGGTGAATGAAGGAGTGATTGAATGGATGAATACATGGAGTTAAGTTGAAGTACAAACTCGGCCAAGACTTCTTTTTCTCTGCTTTGGGTGGAAATACATTTTTAAAAAAAGAGGGCCGGGCACGGTGGCTCATGCCTGTAATCCCAGCACTTTGGGAGGCTGAGGCGGGCGGATCACCTGAGTTTGGGAGTTCGAGGCCAGCCTGACCAACACAGAGAAACCCTGTTTCTACTCAAAATACAAAATTAGCCAGGTGTGGTGGCTCACACCTGTAATCCCAGCTACTCGGGAGGCTGAGGCAGGAGAATCACTTGAACCTGGGAGGCGGAGGTTGTGGTGAGCCGAGATGGCGCCATTGCACTCCAGCCTGGGCAACAAGAGCGAAAGTCCACCTCAAAAAAAATAAAATAAAATAAAATAAAATAAAAAAAGAGGGAAAAAGGAAAAAAAAAGACTCCCTGATGTGCCACTGACTTCCTGTACATGTTTAGGTAAACTTAATATCACCTCTCTTTCCACCATTTTCCCATTTATAAAGTGGGAAGACTGGATTTGATGACATCACAGCCTCATCCAGGTCTGGTGCCTTCCTTATAACCTGCGTCTCTTCTTTATTCTTTTTTTTTTTTTTTTTTTTTTTGAGACGGAGTTTTGCTCTGTCACCCAGGCTGGAGTGTGCAGTGATGCAATCTCGGCTCACTACAACCTCCGCCTCCTGGGTTCAAGCAATTCTCCTGCCTCAGCCTCCCGAGTAGCTGGGATTACAGGCGCCCGCCACCACGCCCGGCTAATTTTTGTATTTTTAGTAGAGACGGGGTTTCACCATGTTGTCCAGGCTGGTCTCGAACTTCTGACTTCGTGATCCACCTGCCTCGGCCTCCCAAAGTGCTAGGATCACAGGTGTGAGCCAGCACCCCCGGCTTATTCCTTTTTTAAAATTGTTATTATTTCCCACAGCCACATATGCCGGGGAGGTTGTCCCACATATGTTCTACCAAGGCCCCTCTGGCACTGAGATCAAACCCCGGAAGACCCGCTCAGTCTCTCCTCCCGTCTTTTCAACACGTTAGCGCCCCCAGGTGGCTAATTAGACTTCAAAATTCAGTTCTTGAGGCGGGCGGATCACTTGAGGTCAGGAGTTCAAGACCAGTCTGGTCAACATGGTGAAACCCCGTCTCTACTAAAAATACAAACATTAGCCGGACATGGTGGTACGCACCTGTAATCCCAGCTATTCGGGAGGCCGAGGCAGGTGGATCACTTGAGGTCAGGAGTTCGAGACCACCTGGCCAATTTGGCAAAACTCCATCTCTACTAAAAATACAAAAATTAGCTGGGCGTGATAGCGCACACCTGTAATCCCAGCTACTCAGGAGACTGAGGCACGAGAATCACTTGAACCCGGGAGGCGGATGTTGCAGTGAACCGAGATCACGCCACTGCACTCCAGCCTGGGTGGAGTGAGATCTTCTCTCAAAAAAAAAAAAGAAAGAAAGAAAGAAAAAGTCGTGCTTGATTATGCTTGATGGCAAAAAGGTGAGACCTTCCTTTCGGCACTGAGTCTGGTAGAAATCGGTGTTACAGGGTAGCTAACATTTATTGAACACTTACTACGGGCCAGTTACTGCTTTAAATGTTTTATGTGTATTACCCACTGAATCCTACAACAATCCTATGAAGTGGGTTTTATCAGTGCATCCATTTTACCGTCAAGGCAAGAGAGAGTTGGGGAAGGGCGCTTTCTGAATGCTGCTACCGTGTCCAGAGTTGGTTCCTTCCTGTGGGTTTGTGGTCTCGCTGACTTTAAGAATGGAGCCAGGGACCTTCGTGGTGAGTGTTACAGCGCTTAAAGATGGCACGGACCTAAAGAGTTAGCAGCAGCAAGATTTATTGTGTAGAGCAAGAGAACAAAGCTCCCACAGCGTGGAAGCAGACTCTGGTGGGGTGCCGCGCTCGCCAGCTTTTATTCCCTTATTGTCCCCGCCCATGTCCTGCTGATTGGTCCATTTTACAGAGCGCTGATTGGTCCATCTTACAGAGTGCTGATTGGTCCATTTTACAATCCTCTTGTAAGACAGAAAAGTTCTCCAGGTCCCCATTCAACCCAGGAAGTCCAGCTGGCTTCACGTCTCACTACTACCTTTCTGTAGCTGCTACTACTACAGTGAGTAGACGGCAGTGCTGGGATTCGAACCCTCTGTCTTCTGGCTTGGAAGTCTTAACCACTAATCGCGTCTTCCTTTCAGCTACTCCTTGGGAAAGGCCTGGAAAGAAGCTACAGCACAGGGCACAGCGGGGTCTAAGGACCGTTCCGCGGAGCTCAGCCAGCAGGACTGTGGGGCTGCAGGAAAGGACAGTCCAGCCCAGGGTCCCAGCTTCTCCGCCACTCAGGTTGGAAGTCTCGGGCTGCAGTGCTCCTGGGGCTCAGGGGCGGATACCAGCAGGAGCGCGGTTCTGACTGCGCCAGTCAAAAGTGACCAGCGCGCCCAGGGAGATGAGGACCAGCCCGGCCAGCCCCAGGCGGACTAGGTTCCCCCGGGTGTAGTCGGAGGAGCCAGAGTCTGCGGGCGGAGCCGGGAGAGAGGGGCCATCAGCTCCCGGACCCCAAAGTCTGGGCCCTGAACTCCAGGTTTCCAGCCCCTGGGGTGGACTTAGGGACCTGACTCTACAGTCTCAAAGTTGAGGGGGAGTCGATGGAGGCTTCAACTCCTGGGTCCAGGAAGAAGGGGCTGGGGCCTGGACTGCTGGATCAGGAAGGAGGGGCTGGGGGCCTGGAGTCCTGGGTCCAGGAAGGAGGGGCTGGGGGCCTGGAGTCCTGGGTCTGAGGGAGGAGGTACTGGGGCCCGGGAATCCTGGGTCTGAGGGAGGAGGAGCTGGAGGACTAGACTCCTGGATCTGAGGGAGGAGGGGCTGGGTCCCAGGAATCCTGGGTCTGAGGGAGGAGGGGCTGCAGGACTAGACCCCTGGGTCTGAAGGAGGAGAGGCTGGGGGCCTGGGCTCCTGGGTCTGAGGGCGGAGGTCCTGGGGCCTGCATTCCTGGGGCGGAGGAGGCGGGCCGGGCCTCAGGGCCCTCACCTTCCCAGCTGATGACCAGCACCTCGCTGCGCTGCGACAGCACGTAGGGCGCGGAGGGCGTGTGATAGTAGCAGCTGTAGGTGCCGGGGGCGCGGGCGCCCAGCAGCGTGAAGTCGGCCCAGGGCTGCGCGGAGTGGCGGTACTGCAGCGGGGCCGCCACGCCCTCGCGGTACAGCACGAAGCTCATGTTCCGCAGGCGGCCCGCGCAGCGCAGGCTCACGTTGGCGCCAGGACCCACCACCGGCCCGGGCAGCGCCACCAGCGACGGCCGCGGCAGCTCCTCTGCAGAGACGGGGTGAGAGTCCGGGGCCGCGTGAGCGTCTTCCGCTCGCTCGCTCGCTCTGTTTCTCCTTCTCCTCTGTCTCTCGCTTTCTCTGTGCCTCTCTCTCTCTTTCTGCCTCTCTTTCTCTCTGCCTGTCTCTCTCTCTGTCTGCCTCTCTCTCTGCCTCCCTCTCTCTCTGCCTCCCTCTCTCTGCCTCCCTCTCTCTCTGCCTCCCTCTCTCTCTGCCTCCCTCTCTCTCTGCCTCCCTCTCTCTCTGCCTCCCTCTCTCTCTGCCTGCCTCTCTCTTTGCCTGCCTCTCTCTCTGCCTCCCTCTCTCTGCCTCCCTCTCTCTCTGCCTCCCTCTCTCTCTGCCTCCCTCTCTCTCTGCCTCCCTCTCTCTCTGCCTCCCTCTCTCTCTGCCTGCCTCTCTCTCTGCCTGCCTCTCTCTCTGCCTCCCTCTCTTTCTGCCTCCCTCTCTCTCTGCCTCCCTCTCTCTCTGCCTCCCTTTCTCCTTCTGCCTCTTTCTCTCTCTCTCCCCCCGCACTGTACCTCTCTCTCTCTCTGCTCCCCTGTCTCTCTCTCTCTGCTCCCCTGTCTCTCTCTCTCCCCCTAGTGTCTCTGTATCTGTCTTTTCTTGTGTCTGTGAATCTGTTTGCCCGCCTCGCTCTGTCTCTCTTTCCCTATATCTCTCTGTCCCTCCCCCAACTCCCTTGTTCCACCCACTTCTCCTCCCCGACCCCAGGACCTCACCTGTCACCAGCAGCTCCAGGACATCGCTGGGCTGGGACCAGACACCCGGCCCCCAGTCTGGCCTTCGGTAGCAGCAGCGGTAAATTCCCCCTTGGGCTGGAGTCACCTCCTCCAGAAAGAATTCTGCCAGCTCGGAGGACACATCCCGGAAGAGAAGGGGAGCGATCTCTCCAGGCTTGAAAAGTCCAAATCTCCAAGCGGGTTGGGGTGCCCGGCATCTCAAGGTCACGTTGACCCCAGGGGTCACAACTGTAGCCGGCTGAGCTCCCAGCCATGGCTTAGGGTGGTATGAAGCTGGGGGGACTGAATAAACGGGGCTGCCTGGGTCCTCGGGCCTCCTGGGAGCCCCAGAAGATGAAAGGGAAGTTGGGGAAGGAGGAAAATCACCTTGGACAATTACTGCCCCTTTCTTAGCCTCAGTTTCCTGTTTGTAAAATCAGGGAGAGACTGGACTACAATCAAGCCTTGTTAAAACCAGGTGCAAATCAGAGGGGCAGGACAGAAACTTCTGAGCTTTACTCCACAGTTTGTAAACACAGTTTCAAAAGGTCAGGTCCCAGAACTCTGTAATTTTATTATTATTATTATTTTTAAGTAATGAGATGGGAGGGGGCGGTCTCCCTATGTTGAGCAGGTTGGTCTTAAACTACTGGCCTCAAGCAATCCTCCCACCTCGGCCTCCCAAAGTGCTAAGTTTACAAGCTTGTGCCACCACACCCAGACTTTTTTTTTTTTTTTTTTTTTTTTTGAGGCAGGGTCTTGCTGTGTTGCTCAGGCAGGAGTGCAGTGGCATGTTCTCAACTCACTGCAGCCTCAATCTCTTGGGCTCAAACAGTCCTCCACCTCAGCCTCCTGAGTACCTGGGACCACAGGCACATGCCACTACACCAGGCTAATTTTTTTTTTTTAATTTTTAGTAGAGACGAGCATTCGCTATATTGCCCAGGCTACTCTTGAACTCTTGGGCTCGAGCAATCCTCCCACCTCGGCCTCCCAAAGTGCTGGGATTACAGGTGTGAGCCACCACGCCCAGCCAGAACTCTAATTTTAAATAGCTTTCCAGAATATTTGCAATATAGTATTTCAAGAGTTGCCAAAACTTGCTATTTGGAAAAGAAAAATGTTGGATCCCTACCTCATACCATTTCCCAAAACAACTTCCAGATTAATTAAAGACCCTGTGTTTCTTTTTTTTTAAACTATAAAAGTATTCAAAAAACTATAGGAAAATATATTTGTCTTGGGGTAAGGAAGGCTTCTTAAAATATAAAATAAAAAGTTGTATGGAAGATTAATTAATTTGACCACTTCAAATTTCTTAAGTTGTGTATGCTAAAAGACAAAACTGGAGGACAAATGATAGTACTGGCAGATATCACTTATTCACAAATCACACAAATTAAGAGTACAGGAAGGCTGTTGGGTCCGGTGGCTCACAGCTGTAATCCCAGCACTTTGGGAGGCCAAGGTGGGTGCATCACCTGAGGTCAGGAGTTCAAGACCAGCCTGACCAACATGGTAAAATCCCATCTCTACTAAAAACAGAAAAATTAGCCAGGCGTGGTAGTGCTAGCTTGTAGTTCCAGCTGTTTGGGATGCTGAGTAGGAGAATTACTTGAACCCTAGAGTCGGAGGCTGCAGTTAGCTGAGATCATGCCACTGCACTCCAGCCTGGGCAACAGAGTGAGAACTCCATGGTGGCATGCACTTTGGGAGGCTGAGGCTGGAGGATTGTCTGAGCCCAGGAATTCAAAGCTGCAGTGAGCTATGATAGAGCCACCGTACTCCAGCCCGGGTGACACAATGAGACCCCATCTCTAAAAATGAATAAAAATAAGGGTCGGGTGAGGGGGCTCATGTTTGTAATCCCAACACTTTGGGAGGCTGAGGCAGAGGGATCACCTGAGGTCAGGAGTTCCAGACCAGCCTGACCAACATGGGGAAACCCTGTCTCTACTAAAAATACAAAAATTATCCGGGCATTGTGGTGTGTGCCTGTAGTCCCAGCTACTCAGGAGGCTGAGGCAGGAGAATCCCTTGAACCCAGGAGGTGGTTGCAGTGAGCCGAGATTGCACCACTGCACTCCGGCCTGGGCGACAGAGAGAAACTGGTCTCAAAATAAATAAATAAATAAATAAAATAAATAGGTAGAGATAGCTATAGCGACACTGAAATATCTCCAAAAGAGTTTTTGTTTGTTTGTTTGTTTGTTTGTTTTTGAAGTGGAGTCTTGCACTGTCACCCAGGCTGGAGTGCAGTGGCGCGATCTCAGCTTACTGCAACCTCTGCCTCCTGGGTTCAAGCGATTCTCTTGCCTCAGCCTCCTGAGTAGCTGGGATTACAGGTGCGTCCCACCACACCCGGCTAATTTTTTTTTTTTTTTTTTTTTTTTTTTAGTAGAGACGGGGTTTCACCACATTAGCCAGGATGATCTCGATCTGACCTTGTGATCCGCCCGCCTCTGCCTCCCAAAGTGCTGGGATTACAGACGTTGGCCATTGCGCCCAGCCCAAGATCCTATTTCTTAAGCCCTGTACTGTGCCAGGCTCAGGGTTTTGCACATGTGATTTGATGAGATCTCACAGCGGCCCATTTTACAGAGAAGGAAATGGAGTCTTAGCAAGCTGTGACTTGTTCTAGGTCATATGGTCACATATAAATGAATACGATGGTGAAACTGAGGTCCTAGCTTAGGCCTCTGCCTCAGAAGTTCCTGGTCTTCAGTACTCACCTATAATGGCCACTAAGGGGAATGAGAAAAGAAGGAAGGAATGGAGGGAGGGAGGAAAATAAGGATATCTGGGATGGGATTGGGCACCAAAATAAAATCTGAGTAATTGGAAAAGGGGTGTCAGCAACAAAAGGAGAGTGGATGGGGTGGCTACTCACCAGACGGAGTGATGTCTGTGTGACACAGAGGCCCTGTAGGAGGTTGAGGGACTAGTTTCTTTTTCCTTTTTTTTTTTTTGTCTGAGGCAGACTCTCACTCTGTCGCCCAGGCTGGAGTGTAGTGGTGTGATCTCAGCTCACTGCAACCTCTGCCTCCCAGGTTCAAGTGATTCTCCTGCCTCAGCCTCCGTAGTAGCTGGGACTACAAGTGCCCGCCACCACACCAGGCTAATCTTTGTATTTTTAGTAGAGAGGGGTTTCGCCATGTTGGTCAGGCTGGTCTTGAACTCCTGTCCTCAGGTGATCCACCCGCCTCGGCCTCCCAAAGTGCTGGGCCTCGGCTCCCACAGGCATGAGCCGCTGCGCCCAACAGCGAGTTCTTTTCAAAACCCTTTGTGGCCAGCCCCATCTCATTGGTAACCCAGGAATCTGAGTTCCCAGCTCCTATCTCCTCTGGGAAATGAGAATCTTATCCCTCCCTCCTCCTGTCTCAGTAGGCAGAAATTTGGACATCCATTGCCCACCTACCGAAGAAGTCTGAACGCAGACCCCTCTGGCCTGGGCAACCAAGAGTTCAGGCCCTTGAACTCCACCTTTCCAGGGAACAATGATCGTAGAGTTTCTCCTCTCACGAGTTCAGGAATCTGGGTCCCCATTTCCCTCTTCTCTCAGGAGCTAAGAGCCCTGTTCCCAGCCCCCTTTTCCCAGGGAATCAGGAGTCCTGGCTTCCATCCCCCTCCCATATAAGAATCTGGGAGTCCTCCCTGTCTCCTGACCTCTTCCTGCCTCAAGAACCAGAGATACCTGTCCCCACCTCCTTCCTCTTTCGGGAATCTGTGTTCTCTTGCTTTAGGACCCAGGGGTCTGGGCCCCAGC
The DNA here is from genome assembly GCF_000001405.40 of Homo sapiens. Lineage (NCBI taxonomy): Eukaryota > Metazoa > Chordata > Mammalia > Primates > Hominidae > Homo > Homo sapiens. The sequence goes on from NW_003571061.2 coordinate 75,028, forward strand.
CCTGTTCTTTATTTGAACCTAGAATCCCAAACCTGCTGCCTGGTCCCCCTGCAGGGTGTCTGGGTCTCCATTGCCTCTCTCTCTGCCCCCAACCCCAGCCAGGAACCCAGGGAGAAGAAAGGGGTGACTCACAGAGGGTCAGCAGCTGGAGGATCAGCACCAGGGCCATGGTGGGCAGATACCCGCTAGAGCTGGAGCCAGGGCTTGGTCGCACCCTCTCCCCTCCCAGGAAATGAGGCAACATCAGAAAACCAGACCCAGATCCTCATTTACGGAAGAGAGTATCGAGGTGGGGGCCTGTGGGTGACTGTGTCATAGCCCTATGGCACTGTGGAAAAATTAGCAGGGGGTTCAGTCATAACCTGTGGTGTTCATTTATTTAACTCTAGAAACAAATACTAGTCAGGAGGTGGAGGCAGGAGGATCGCTTGAGCCCAAGAGTTCAAGAGCAGCCTGGGCAACAGAGCGAGACCCTGTCTAAAAAATAAATAAATTGTGCCACTGCACTCCAGCCTGGGTGATAGAGTGAGACCATGTCTTTAAATATAGATAGACAGATAGAAAGATATCTGTCTGTTTTAAAAATAAGAACCTATTATGTGCCAGACTCTTGCTGTCATTGATTGACAGATAGATAAAAATTTGCACCTATTATGTGCCAGGCCCTTGCTGTGATTGAAAGATAGATAGATGGATGGATGGATAGATAGATAGATAGATAGATAGATAGATAAAAATTAGCACCTGTTAAGTGCCAGGCCCTTGCTGTGATTGATTGATGGATAGATAAAAATTAACACCAATTATGTGCCAGGCCCTTGCTGTGATTAATTGATCGATTGATAGATTGGTTGACAGAGAAAAATTAGCACCTATTATGTGCCAGGCTCTTGGTGTGATACTGTGTTAGATAGATAGATAGATAGATAGATAGATAGATAGATAGATAAAAATTAGCCCCTCTAGGCCGGGCGCGGTTGTTCACGCCTGTAATCCCAGCACTTTGGGAGGCCAAGGCGGGTGGATCACCTGAGATCGGGAAGTTCGAGACCAGCCTGACCAACATGGAGAAACCCCCGTCTCTCCTAAAAAAGAAAAATTAGCCGGCTGTGGAGGCGCGCGCCTGTAATCCCAGCTATTCAGGAGGCTGAGGCAGGAGAATCGCTTGAACTCGGGAGTCGGAGGTTGCTGTGAGCCGAGATCGCGCCATTGCACTCCAGCCTGGGCGACAGAGCTAGACTCAATCTCAGAAGAAAAAAAAAAAAATTAGAACCTATTACGTGCCAGACCCTCGCTGTGCCATGTTGGCAGGCACAGAGGGAACTCAGACTCCGTTACTGCTCTCAAGCAGCAGCTACCAGTCCGACTGAAAGACCAAGACCAGGTCAGTTTCCTTTTTTTTTGAGACGGAGTCTCGCTCTGTCGCCCAGGCTGGAGTGCAGTGGTGTGATCTCGGCTCACTGCAAGCTCCGCCTCCCGGGTTCACGCCATTCTCCTGCCTTAGCCTCCCCAGTAGCTGGGACTACGGGCGCCCACCACCACGCCCGGCTAATTTGTGTTGTATTTTTAAGTAGAGACAGGGTTTCACCATGTTAGCCAGGATGGTCTAGATCTCCTGACCTCGTGATCCGCCCGCCTCGGCCTCCCAAAGTGCTGGGATTACAGGCGTGAGCCACCGCGCCCGGCCCAGACCAGGTCAGTTTCTTAAGTGATCTGAGCTATAATGGCGGTAACAGAGCACTGTGAGAGCCCGCAGAAAGCTCCTAACCCATCTGGGATGAGACCTAGCGCTTCCAGGACGAGCCGATGTTGAGCTGAGACCTCGAAGGACAGGTTAGTCATTCACCTTCTCCCGGGCTCAGTTTCTTCGTCTGTAAAATGGGCTTTCATACATAAACTATAAAATGGGGACTATTTTGTTCCGCCTTAGGTGGGTCGCAGCAGGAGGACTAGTCACTCCGGAGCGACTTCTAGGCTGAGACTAAGGAGATTCCACGCAGGTCCGCAAAGTCAGGCTTGCGCTTGCTCCTGACACCACTTCCTTTACCTCCACGGCTCCATCTTTGTTCTGCGCGAGTGCGCACGCGCAGGCTCCGAAAGCGGGCCGTCGCACAGAGGGACCACAACTCCCAGAGTGCTCCGCGTCCTTGCTTTCGCCTCTACTTGTGCTCCAGGGCGCACGCGCAGCCCTGGGAGCGGGTTCTCGCGCATAGGGACCACAACTCCCAGGGTGCTCCGCGTCCTCGCCGCTGTCGCCGCCGCGGAGACAAAGATGGCTGCGAGTAAGTGCAGGTTCCGGTGGCGCACGGGGCTCGGGTAGTTCTGGGAACCTCTGGGCGGTCCTGGGACTGAGGTGCGGCAGGGCAGGGGTGGAAGCGATGGGGTCCGTGCTGGAGGGGAACGCAGAAGTCACGAGGGGGCTCCTCCAGGGCAGGGGTGGCACGAGAGGGTTAGAGGTCACCGGGGGCAGCTACTTGCAGGGGTGACGCTTCTTGCCACCCCTTCAGGAGTCGGCGCCTTCCTCAAGAATGCCTGGGACAAGGAGCCAGTGCTGGTCGTGTCCTTCGTCGTCGGGGGCCTCGGTGCGTGAGTGCTCCAGGCGCAAACTTGCATCGTCCACCCCCGTCCCCCTACATCCCTCCATCTTGTACCCCTAAAGCCCTATCGCCGCCCTCGGGTCCCCTCTAGTGTGTCTGCACCCCCACGGCATCCCCTTATCTATCCCCATACCCATTATAACCTCTCCACCATCGCCCCCCGCGTTCCTCTCCACCTACCCAATACGCTCTTAACCCCTCTAAATGAGACGTTCTCAACCCTGCTTATGCCTTAACACCTGAGCACCAAAAAAAAGTCCAGATCCTCCTCCTCCTTTTCATCTTTCCTCTCCCCCATTCTGAATTGAGTTGGCTTGGGTGGAGGTGGGACTGGGGAATCTGTGTCTTGTGAAAATCCCCGTATGATCCCAATGTGCCTTGCTGATTGAAAATCTCTGCCCTCTGCCCTGGAACTGCCCTACTCACACTTTAATTAGCACCGGAGTTCCTGCAGGGATGGGGGCGGGGGATTGTTAAAATGTAGCTTTTTTTTTTGCGATGGAGTCTCACTCTCACCCAGGCTGAAGTGCAGTGGCGCGATCCCGGCTCACTGCAACCTCGGCCTCCTGGGTTCAAGGGATTCTCCTGCCTCAGCCTCCCGAGTAGCTGGGATTACAGGCGCCCAGCTAATTTTTTGTTTTTGTTTTTGAGACTGAGTCTCGCTCTGTCGCCCAGGCTGGAGTGCAGTGGCGCGATCTCGGTTCAGTGCAAGCCCCGCCTTCCGGGTTCACGCCATTCTCCTGCCTCAGCCTCCCGAGTAGCTGGGACTACAGGCGCCCGCCCCCATGCCCGGCTAATTTTTTGTATGTTCAATAGAGACGGGGTTTCACCGTGTTAGCCAGGATGGTCTCGATCTCCTAACCTCGTGATCCTCCCAACTCGGTCTCCCAAAGTGCTGGGATTACAGGCGTGAGCCACCGCGCCCGGCCAGCTTTTTTTTTTTTTTTTTTTTGAGATGGCGTCTCGCTCTGTCTTCCAGGCTACAGTGCAATGGTTTGATCATGGCTCACTGCAACCTCCGCCTCTAGGGTTCAAGTGATTCTCCTGCCTCCGCCTCCCAAGTAGCTGGGATTACAGGCGAGCACCACCACGCCCGGCTAATTTTTGTATTTTTAGTAGAGACAAGGTTTCACCATGTTGGCCAGGCTGGTCTTGAACTCCTGACCGCAAGTGATCTGCCTTCCCAAAGTGCTGGGATTACAGGGGTGAGCCACTGCGCCCGGCCAAACTGTAGGTTCTGATTCTGTAGGTCTGGGGTGGGGCATGGGATTCTGCATTTTTGAAGAGTTCCCAGGTCTTGTCAGTACTGCTGGTCCACCAGCCAGGCACTAGGTTAAGGTTCTGAACACTTATTCAGTATGGCAGCCACCAGCCACAACTGGCCACTGAGCATTTGAAGTGGTGCTGGTATGAATTGAGGTGGTATAAGACACTGGATTTCAAAAACTTAGTATAACAGAGTGTGTAAACTACCAATAATCTTTTGTTGATTACATGGCGAAGTGATGTTTTGGATGTACTATGGTTTTTTTTGTTTGTTTGTTTTTGTTTTTTTGAGACGGAGTTTCGCTTTTGTCCAGGCTAGAGTGCAATGGCCTGATCTCGGCTCACTGCAACCTCCGCCTCCCGGGTTCAAGCGATTCTCCTGTCTCAGCCTCCTTAGTAGCTGGGATTACAGGCGCATGCCACTACACCTGGCTGTTTTTGTATTTTCAGTAGAGACGGGGTTTCATCATATTGGTCAGGCTGGTCTCGAACTCCTGACCTCAGGTGATCCACCCGTCTCAGCCTCCTAAAGTCCTGGGATTATAGGCATGAGCCACCTCGCCCATCCAAGTATGTTTCTTAAAATTTGTTTCATCTGTATCTCTTATTTTTACTGTAGCTACTAGAAGATATAAAATTATATACCTGGCTCTTACCATCTGTCAGACAGCACTGGCCTAGAACATTCCTTTTATGAACTGTACCCCATCCCCCAGGACTCCTGGCTCCCACCCTAAATGGACTGTGGTCAGTGACTGTTGTTTGTGCAACCCTTTCTCCTCCAGTTTGTAAGGCTTTTTTTTTTTTTTTTTTTTGGTGATGGAGTCTCTCTCTGTTGCCCAGGCTGGAGTGCAATGGCACAATCTGGGCTCACTGCAACCTCTGCCTCCCAGGCTCAAGGGATTCTTCTGCCTCAGCCTCCTGAGTAGCTGGGATTACAGGCTCCTGCCACCACGCCCGGCTAATTTTCGTATCTTTAGTAGAGATGGGGTTTCATCATGTTGTCCAGGCTGGTCGCGAACTCCTGACCTCAGGTGATCCGCCCACATTGGCCGCCCAAAGTGCTGGGATTACAGGCTTGAGCCACTGTGCCCGGCCAAATTTGTAACAGTCTTGATTTCTCCAGAACAGTCCCATGACACTACCCCCAGGATGCTCCATGATGACCCTACACTCAAACGTGCTCATTCCATGACCAACCCCACTGCTGCCTCCTCCAGGCCCCACGTATCTGTGAGTGTTAGGCTCCAACCCCTACCTCCACTTAACCCCCCAAAAAAGAGTTTTAAACCCTCCTGTCTATAAGTAGGGATCCCAAGGTACCAAGGATCCTCCTGGACGTGCTGGCCCTCCCTGCTGCCCTCCCCCTGCGCACTTTATCTTCCCTTTGCCAAGGCTCACCTTCTCTTCCCCTCTCTTCAGAGCCACCTTCCCCTGGGCCTCACCCCTGTGTCTCTCCACAGCTGTAATTCTGCCCCCATTGAGCCCCTACTTCAAGTACTCCGTCATGATCAACAAGGCCACGCCCTACAACTACCCAGGTGAGTGGGGGCCAGGCAGGGATCCCCGGAATAGGCCCAGCCTCCCTGTGCTGGCGTAAGGGCAGTTATGGGCAGGTCTTTCCTAAGCAGTTATCAGAGATTCTGCAGTGGTGCCCGGACCCCCCGTTCCATTTTTTAAGAATTGAGATATAATTCGTATACTATTCTGTGTTTGTGCTTCGTTTTTGTTTTTTTGGGTTTTTTTGAGACAGAGTCTCGCTCTGTCGCCAAGGCTGGAGTGCAGTGGCGCGATCTCAGCTCACTGCAAGCTCAGCCTCCCGAGTAGCTGGGACTACAGGTGCCCGCCACCACGACACGCAAACTTTTTCGTATTTTTTTAGTAGAGGCGGGGTTTCACCGTGTTAGCCAGGATTGTCTCGATCTCCTGACCTTGTGATCCACTCACCTCGGCCTCCCAAAGTGCTGGGATTACAGGTGTGAGCCACCGCGCCTGGCCTGTGCTTCGAGTTTCTATTACCTTTCCAGATTTCTGTCTCTCTCTGGGTTCCCATCTGTGGTGGTTTCTTGGTCTCCATCTTCTCAGGTTTCTGTCCTGTTTCCCCATCTCTTTTGACCCTAGCTCTCTAGTGCGCGGGATCTCTCCCTCGCTATCTCTCTGGTTTTCCGTGTCTCTCAGTCTCTGTATTTCCCGCCTCTTTCTGCATCACTGATTCTCTGACCCTTCCCCTCTCACCCCTGGGGTCCCCCTTCCCTCTCTGAACATAAAGCGACAGACCAGCTCTTCTCTCCAGGGCCCTGGAGACGTGCTGGTCTCAGTGGCCCACCTCCTGCCCCACAGTGCCCGTCCGTGATGATGGGAACATGCCCGACGTGCCCAGCCACCCCCAGGACCCTCAGGGCCCCAGCCTGGAGTGGCTGAAGAAACTGTGAGCACCTCCACTGACAGAGGCGGCCCCTCCCACGGCTCCCAATAAAAATGTGAAAACCAACCCCCGAACGTGAGCATGTGTGTGATCAGAGGTGGGAACAAGTAGACGGTGGCCGGGGTGAGTGTGGGGTCAGTTTATTGGGCATGCGTCAGTCAGAGGCTGGGCTGGCCAGGGTCGGGTAGGGCAGCAGTTTGTCTGGACCCCGAGAAACCCAACTGGAATCCAGGGCCTCATCTGCTTCAAAGCCAAAGTCTTCCTCAACCTTAATCTGCAGGAGATAAGGAACAAGGTGTTAACAGGCCTGGGAATCTAGAAAATCCCATCAGCTTCACCATTTTTGTTTTCATTTTGTTTTGCTTTTTAAAGAGACAGGGTCTCACTCTGTTGCCCAGGCTGGAGTGCAGTGGTGCCATCATAGTTCACTGCAGCCTCTGCCTCCCAGGCTCAAGTGATCCTCCCACCTCAGCTTCCCAAGTAGCTGGGACTACAGGCACTTGCCAACCAAGCCTAACATGTTTTTTCTTTTTGGTAGAGATGGGGTCTCAGTATGTTGCTCAGGCAGGTCTCAGACTCCTGGCCTCAAGTGATCCTCCCACCTAGGCCTCCCAAAGTGCCGGGATTACAGGCATGAGCCACTGCACCTGGCCAGCCTCACAGTTCTTGTCTGCCCAGGCCAGTCACCTTCCTCCTTACACCTCAGAGGCAATCCCAGTGTTCCTGGGTCCAGATGTTCTTCCAGCTTTCCTCCCCACACTGGGCCTTCCCTTCCACTCCGTCTTCTCTGATCCTTCCTTCTCCTCTACTCCCAGCCTTCTCTAGCTATTTTTCCTTCTCCAGGTCTTCCTCTTTCCCTTTCCAACTTTGCCTCCTTTTTACCCAAGCCTTTACCCCACTTTTTCCAACTACTTCCCTGCCTGATCCTAGGCCTCCAACATGTCCTGGTTCACCTCCCTTCTCCAACTTTCCCCAGCCCTGGGCCCCTCGGGGTGCAGAACCAAAACCCAAGAGCCCTGAACCTAACTCAGCCCCAGCCCTGGCCCCTCCCCTTGAGTCCCCCCTCCTTACCTGCACTGGCGCCGGCTCTGGAGCCCCAGTCCCTCCCCTTGAGTTCCCGCCTTCCTCACCTGCACCGGGGCCAGCTCTGGAGTCAGCGCATTTCCTGCTCGGCGTCCATCCCGTGGCACTCGCCGCCTCTTCCGCCCACTGGGCCCCTCACCGGGGGCTGGGCTGCCGGGTTCTGGGGGTGCAGGAGTCCTTCTGGGCGGGGACAGTGTCTCTTTCTCTGGAGGCTCATTCTCCGCATTGCCTGGGGTGGGGGCATCCGTGCCCTGGCTGCCCTCATCCTGGCAGGCAGGAGGGGGAGGTAGGTGATGGGTGGGTCCTGAGCTCCCAGTTCCTGACCCTCCTGGAGGCCCAACACTCACCTCCAGCACAATGGTGAACTGGCTGGCCCGGTAGTCATCCCCGTAGGAGTCCAGCACTCTCATGAGGAACCTGCTCAGGGGGAGAAGCCACCAACGGAATAACTTATCTCCTAGCGGCTGGGGAAAAGGGCCACAGGATAGAGCTCAGCTCCCACTCCACTCAACGCCAAAGCTGTCCTGGAGCCAGACGGTCCTGAGCTCTGGCACTGGAGGCCTGGGAGCCATGCCCTTGACCAGCCTTGAGACCTCGAGCAAGACAAGGCAACCATTCTGAGGCTGAGTTTCCTGCTCTGCAAACGACATGACACCCTCGGCTGGATGTTGCAGCGGTGACACTGAAGTAGTGACACCAGACGATTTCTGTACTTAATGTGATGTCAGCACTTAGTAAACATTCATATGTGAGTTATAATTTTTATTGATAACTGAAGAGAGGGGAGTACAGAACGCTCCTCCTAATGACCTCACCTCTTATAAACACCCCCTTCTCTTTTTTCCCCAGCCCCTGCCTCCAGAGTTCCTTAAGGTTCAATTGATGGAATGCCTCCTCTGCACCAGCACCTGGGCAGGTTTGTTGTTGTTGTTTTGCGACGGAATCTCACTCTGTCACCCAGGCTGGAGTGCAGTGGCGTGAATTTGGCTCACCACAACCTCCACCTCCCTGGTACCAGCGATTCTCCTGCCTCAGCCTCCCGAGTAGCTGGGACTACAGGCGCCTGCCACTACACCCGGCTAATTTTTTTGTATTTTTAGTAGAGACGGAGTTTCACCGTGTTAGCCAGGATGGTCCCGATCTCCTGACCTCGTGATCCGCCTGCCTCGGCCTCCCAAAGTGCTGGGATTACAGGCATGATGAGCCACTGCGCCCGGCCTATTTCAACTTAAGTGAAAATCTCACCTGTGGCCAGCGGCTACCGTGCTGGACAGCACAGGTACGGACAGAGGAACCCTGGGAGCCGCAGGTTTCAGCTTTGGGGAGGGAGGATGAACTAGCAAAGGCAGCCAAGAAGGAACAGCCGGAAAGGCAGGAGACCCCAGGTTGCTGGGTGCCCAGGATGGCAAGAATGGGCTCCAGGGAAGAGCACATAGCCCTGGGCCACTGTGCCGAGCCTGAGCCAAGGACTGAGATGAGAACTGTGGTTGACTCAGCAACGTGGAGCCATTCCTACAAAACTTGCTCCAGTTTTGCTGGTACAGGGACACTGCGAGTGGCAGGGGCAGCAGCCACCTGGGCAGGTTCTGTGGAGACACACAGTGGGAAGCTCTGAGCTCAGCTCACCACCTGCAAGCTCCGACAACCCTGCCGCAGCCTCATGATATTGGTGCTGCCCTTAGTTGATAGGAAACAGCTCAGAGAAGGGACACTGCTTGCTTAGAGTCACACAGCAAAAAAAAAAGAAAATACTTGCAGTCAGGTCTGTGCTCGTGTGCCTTCCATCCTGCTGTTCCCTCCCTTCAGGGGGAGGAGGCCCTCCACCCGGCCCTCCCTCAGTCCCAGTGCTCAGCCCTCTCCACCCGGCCCTCCCTCAGTCCCAGCGCACAGCCCCTTCCACCCGGCCCTCCCTCAGTCCCAGTGCTCAGCCCTCTCCACCCGGCCCTCCCTCAGTCCCAGTGCTCAGCCCTCTCCTCCAACACCGAATCCCACTCTTCCTCCTTGTTTGCCTCAGCCCCCGGCCCTCATCTCCGGCTTCTCCTTGTGGCTTGTGAGGGTTGGGTGGATGTGGAAGTGGGAGAGACAGAGGGGCTGGGAGCATTTGGGAGCTGAGGCTCACAGGCCCAGAGGGGACGGAGAAGGGGTTACCTCCGTTCCTGCTGCAGCCTCCGAGTTATCCTCTGCACCTGATGGAGCCTGTTCAGGACCCGCTCGTTCACCTATGGGGTGGGAAACGCCCATCAGCTGGATCCCACGGCTCCCGTTCATTTGTTTAACGGATGTTTAATGGGGCACGCACTAAACTCTGGAGACTGGCCAAAGACCATCCCGTGGCCTGAGGTCCTTCCACCTTCCCATCCCTCCGGCTCCCCTCTCACCATGCCACAGTCCTGAGTGCCCTCCAGTGGGGGCCTTCCGCGTGCTGTTCCTCTACCTGGACCCTCTCCCCAGTCATCCGCACAACTTACTCCCCACTCCAAGTCTTAGGTCAACTGTTACCTGCTCAGAGAGCCTGAACCTCCCATTAAGTCGAAACACACCAGGCCAGGTGCGGTGGCTCACGCCTGTAATCCCAGCACTTTGGGAGGCCGAGGCGAGTAGGTCCCCTGAGGTCAGGAGTTCGAGACCAGCCTGGCCAACATGATGAAACCCCATCTCTACTAAAAATACAAAAAATTAGCTGGGCGTGGTGGCAGGTGCCTGCAGGATAGTCGCACGAACCTGGGAGGTGGAGGGGTGAAGTGAGTTGAGATCACCCCACTGCACTCCAGCCTGGGCAACAGAGCGAGGTTCTGTTTCAAAAAAAAAAATTGCAACACACCCGACCCCCCTTCCCATGCCAGAACCCCACCCGGCCATTCACTCCTGGCTTTATTTCCTCCTAGTGCTCATCTGAGGAGGCAGGACGCAGCCTCTCCGCCTCTTTGCTTATTCTGCTGACTGACCGCCTCTCCAGCCAGAGCATGAGCTGAAAAACGACAGCAACTTGTTTCTACATCCCGTGCCTTAACCAGAGCCTGGCACGTAGTACATCCTCCATGAACATTTGCAGAATCAATGACTTTGCAAAGTGAGAAGTGCTTGGTGAATACCAAAGAGTCAGACATGCTGGAGGTTAGGGCAGGAGGTGCGACTTTAGTTACGACCTGCAGAGAAGGCCCGTGGGCCCAGACTTGAATAAGGAGGAGACAAAGGGGTGACAGGAGGAAAGTATGCCAGGCTGAGGGGACAGCCCTGCACGCAGCTTCTGAGGACTCCAGCCTAGACATGGAGGGAGAGATGTGACTCAGCCAAACAGGGACCCAAAGACAGTGGCTGAAGCAGGTGCTGCTCCTGGGTCAGAAAGACCTGAGTTCCGGGCGGGGCACAGTGGCTCACGCCTGTAATCCCAGCACTTTGGGAGGCCGGGGCGGGCAGATCACTTGAGGTCAGGAGTTCAAGACCAGCCTGGCCAACATGGTGAAACCCCGTCTCTACTAAAGATACAAAAATTGGCCGGATGTTGTGGCACATGCCTGTAATCTCAGCTACTCAAGAGTTTGAGGTCGGGAGTTCCAGACCAGCCCGGCCAACATGATGAGACCTCATCTCTACTAAAAAAAAAAAAAAAAAAAGAAAAATACAAAAATTAGCTGGGTATGGTGGCGCATGCCTGTAATCCCAGTTTCTCAGGAGGCTGAGGCAGGAGAATCGCTTGAACCCAGGAGCTGGAGGTTGCAGTGAGCCGAGATCACACCACTGCCCTCCAGCCTGGGTGACAGAGTAAGACTCTGTCTCAAAAGAAAAAAAAAAAAAAAAGTGCCAGGCACGGTGGCTCACGCTTGTAATCCCAGCACTTTCAGAGGCCAAGGCGAGCGGATCACCTGAGGTCAGGAGTTTGAGACCAGCCTAACGTGGTGAAACCCTGTCTCTACTAAAAATACAAAATTAGCCAGGTGTAGTGGCGCATGCCTGTAATCCCAGCTACTCGGGAGGCTGAGGCAGGAGAATCGCTTGAACCCAGGAGGCGGAGGTTGCAGTGAGCTGAGATTGCAGCATTGCACTCCAGCCTGGACAACAAGAGCGAAAATCCATCTAAAAAAAAAGAGTTCAAGTTTTGGCTCTGGCTTGGCACAGTGGCTCATGCCTATAATCCCAGCACTTTGAGAGGCCAGGAGTTCGACACCAGCCTGGGCAACAGAGTGAGACCCCAACACTCAAAAACTAACCAAAAAAATTAGCTGGGCTTGGTGGCTGTAGTCCCAGCTCCTTCGGAGGCTGAGATTGCTAGAGTCCAGGATGTTGGGGCTGCAGTGAGCCACAGTCATGCCACTGCACTCCAGCCTGGGCAACAGAGAAAGACCCTGTCTCAAAAAAAAAAAAAAATCTCAGATCTGCCACTGCTGAGCTCTGAGCTTGGGTGCATTACTTAACCTCTCTGAGCCTTGATTTTCTATACTTGTAAAATAGTAGTAATCTATTCCTGGGGGTGGATTAATGGCAGAGGCTCCAGTTGAGTCCGTTTGGGCCTTGGTGTCTGTCTGTTAAACAGGGTTTGGAATATGCCCCTGGCCTCTAGCCTTCCTCCTTACAGAACTCCCCAATACTGTCATTAAGAATTGAGGCCAGATGTGGTGGCTCATGCCTGTAATCCTAGCATTTTGGGAGGTCAAGGCGAGTGGATCACTTGAGGTCAGGAGTTCAAGACCAGCCTGGGCAACATGGCAAAACCCCATCTCTACAAAAAGTACAAAAATTAGCCAGGTGTGGTGGTGTGTGCCTGTAGTCCCAGCTATTTTGGGGGCTGAGGCAGGAGGACTGCTTGAACCTGGGAGACTGAGGCTGCAATGAGCTGAGATTGCGCCACTGCACTCCAGCTTTGGTGACAAAGTGAGAACCTGTCTCAAGAAAGAGAAAAAGAGTTGAAGGCCAGGCGTGGTGGCTCAAGCCTGTAATCCCAGCACCTTGGGAGGCTGAGGTGGGCAGATCACCTGAGGTCAGGAGTTTGAGACCAGCCTGACCAACATGGTGAAACCCTGTCTCTACTAAAAATAGAAAAATTAGCTGGGTGTGGTGGCGGGCGCCTGTAATCCCAGCTACTAGGGAGGCTGAGTCAGGAGAATCACTTGAACCCAGGAGGTGGAGGTTACAGTGAGCTGAGATGGTGCCATTGCACTCCAGCCTGGGAGACAAGAGCGAGACTCCACCTCAAAAAAAAAAAAAAAAAAAAAAAAAAAGTTGAATTATTTCCCCCAAAAGAGGGTGTTGAGGCTTTAACCCCCAGTACCTCAGGATCACCTTATATGGAGACAGTGTCGTTACAAAAGTAATCAAGTTCAAATGAAGCCAGTGGGTGGGCCCTAATCCAGTATGACTGGAGTCCTTATAAAAAGGGTAAATTGGGACACAGACACACACACAGGGAGCAGCAATGTGAAGATGAAGGCGGAGATCAGGGTGATGTTTGTACGTGCCAATGACTGCCAGAAACCTCCAGAAGCCAGGGGAGAGGCCTGGAAGATTCTCACAACCCTGTCGACACCTTGCCTTGGATGTCTAGCCTCCAGAACTGTCAGACAGGAATTTCTGTGCTTGAGGGACCCTATTTGTGATAAGTTCTGGGAGTCCAAGCAGACTAATACAACTGTCTTCAGAGTTTCAGGCATCCAGACCTGATGCTGTTCCTCCCCCATTTGAAACCCTTCAGTGGCTCCTTCACTCTCAAGGAAAAAAAAATATCCAGACTTCTTGTCCTGGTGTTCCTGGCCTGCCAAGATCTGAGCCCTGCCTGCTGTTTAATCCTCATTGATTGATTGATTGATTTTGAGACGGAGTCTCACTCTGTCACCCAGGCTGGAGTACAGCAGCATGATCTTGGCTCACTGCAACCTCCGCCTTCCGGGTTCAAGCAATTCTCATGCCTCAGCCTCCCTAGTAGCTGCGACTACAGGTGCGCACCACCACACCTGGCTAATTTTTTTGTATTTTAGTAGAGATGGGGTTTCACCATGTTGGCCAGGCTGGTCTCGAACTCCTAACCTCAGGTGATCCGCCTGCCTCAGCCTCCCAGTGCTAGGATTACAAGCGTGAGCCACCATGCCCAGCCCATCCTTATTCTCAGCAAGGAGGCTATTGCAGTCATTCAGCCCAGACAGCTGGAGTTTGCAATGGCAGCCATAGGGATGGAGGAGAGGAGAAGGGTCCAGAGACACTCAAGAGGCGGAATGAATGAGTCGAGAGGAGTGAATCCTGGCAGGGGTATGGGAGATGTGAAGAGCTTGGGCTTTCACCTGTGAGCGGTGCCACGCATTGAGAGGCCCCCGGGAGACATCAGAGAACCCATCTGCGTTGTCAGGGAAGCTCCACGGGAGATGGCCCTTCCAGGGGCCCGGCACAGGGCCAGACACATAATGCATGCTAAATGACTGAATATATAAGCTAAATGACTGAATATATCAGCAAGCCAAGAAAGGCTGGGCATGTGGAAAGGCAGAGATTGCGGGGGGCGGTAGTTTAGGCCAGGGGACCCCAAAACCGGGGGATCCGCACTCACCTACCTGCTCGATCTCCCGGCAGCGCCGACCTAGTGCCTGGTACTTTCTGCGATTTAATTCCCGCTGGCGCCGCCGCCGACCCCGGGCTGCCTCTTCCTCTTCATCTCGCTCCCGGAGCCCTGAGCCGCCCAGACCACCTGACACAAACTCCACTTCCGTCTCCAGCTCGCTCTCCAGGATGTGGCCACCAAATAGGGGAGGCAACGCCAACTCTGAGCCTGGCGGCGCTGAGAACTCCTCAAAGCCCACGGCTGCCATGGTCCTGAGAGGCAGGGAAAGGCTCAGGGGCCCTGGATCCTGGACCCCCAGCCCCTTCTCCCACTGAACCAGGAGCCCAGACCCCAACCCCTCCTCCCTGAGATCCTAGAATCCAGGCCCCCAGCCCCTCCTCCCTCAGACCGTAGAATCCAGCTCCCAGCCCTCCTCCCTCAGACCCAGAAGTCCAAGTCCGCAACCCACCCTTCGCAGCACCCACAGGGTTCAAGCCCTGACCCCCTCCTCCCAGGATGCAAGAGTCCAGACCTCCAGACTTTTTCTCTCCAAGGACCCAGGGAGTCCAAGCCCCAACCCTCAACCAGACGCAAGAGTCCTGGCTTCCAACCTCCTAGTCTGTCAGATCCAGCAGTCCAAACCCCTAACCTTCTCCTCCCTCAGGATGACCCCAGTCCATAAAAGGGTTCTAAGGTAAAGCAGTTGCATGAACTACAACCCCCATCAGACCTCAGCGTAAAAGCTCATATGGTTGCACACAATGCAGCTGCACTGTTTTCTGGGATTCGCACTTTTTCACAAGGGCTCAGCCACATACCCTTCTCTCTGCTCCAATTCCATCTCCGCGACCTCCGGAAGCCCCGGGCCTCAGAGCTTCCGACCTCTTCAATCTGTAGGTTAAGCCGTTCGCAAAACTACTTGTCCCATCAGGCTCAGCAGCCGAGGACGGCGGGACGTGGCCCTAGGCCTTGTGGGAGTTGTAGTTTCCTGTTTCCGGCTTCGCTTCGGCCCACCCCCACGTCCACCCCGAATCCCTGCTTAAAGGCCTTGCTTTCTTGTCTAACGCCGCAACCAGTCCTCTGAGTTGCCAACGTCTTTCTTCTTGTCTCGACGCCCCGTCGTCCGGCCACAGCGATTCTCTGCTTAGCAGGATCGGTCCACAGCGGGACGTGAGTCCCTTTCCTCCTCGCGGCTTACCGCCTCTCTCCGCCTAGTGCCAGGTGCTAATAAAGTTGTTGTTTCAAATGCGGCCAGGAACATCGCGAGCGGGGACCAATCAGAGAGTAGCTTTGCCTCTATAACGGCGCGAGAGTGAGACGTCATCGGTGAGCGACTAACGCTAGAAACAGTGGTGCGCGGAGAGGAGAGGTGAGTGTGATGGAGACCACGGGGAGCGGGAGGCTGGGCTCCTGGGTCTGGGAGAAGAAGTGTGTGAGGAAAAAGGCGGGTCTTTACAGCTTGGTTTTTGTTTTTTTGTTGTTTGTTTGTTTTGAGACGGAGTCTCGTTCTGTTGCCCAGGTTGGAGAGCAGTGGCGCGATCTCGGCTCATTGCAACCTCCGTCTCCCGGGTTCAAACGATTCTTCTGCCTCAGCCTCCAGAGTAGCTGGGATTACAGGCGCCCGCCACCACCCCTGACTAATTTTTGTATTTTTAGTAGAGACGGGGTTTCCCCATGTTGGTCAGGCTGGTCTCGAACTCCTGATCTCGTGATCCGCCCGCCTCGGCCTCCCAAAGTGCTGTGATTACAGGCATGATCCACCGCGCCTGGCCAGTTGTTTGTTTGTTTTGTCTGAGACGGAGTTTCGCTCTTGTTGCCCAGGCTGGAGTGCAGTGGCGCGATCTCGGTTCACTGCAACCTCCGCCTCCCGGATTCAAGCGATTCTCCTGCCTCAGCCTCCCGAGTAGCTGGGATTACAGGCGCGCACCACCACGCCCGGCTAGTTTTTTGTATTTTTAGTAGAGACGGGGTTTCACTATGTTGGCCAGGCTGGTCTCCAACTCCTGACCTCAGATGATCCACCCGCCTGGGCCTCCCAAAGTGCTGGGATTACAGGCATGAGCCACCGCTCCCGGCCTTTTACAGCCTGTTTACCCAAAAGTCTTAATATGCGCCTACCATGGTGTGGCCCTGGGGATGTGGAAGGAGCAAAAATTGTTCGCTACCCTCTTAGAGCTTTGGTTGATGCCTGGCAGACAGGCTTTATCAAATAATTACTTCATTAATCACAAATGTGTGAAGTGCCTTACTGTAGACACGCAGAGCGTGCGGGACACGTTATCACAAAGCAACCTCCTGTAGTCTAGAGTGGGGCGTGTGGGTCAGGGAGGTGGAACGTGAGAGCTGAAGGCTGAGGAGATGCTGGGCTACTAAGAAGTGAGGAGAGCCAGACGCCATGGCTCACTCCTGTAATCCCAGCACTTTGGGTGGCCCAGGCGAAAGGATCGCTTGAGCCCAGGAGTTTGAGACCAGCCTGAGCAACACAGTGAGACCCTGTCTCTACAGAAAAATTTAAAAATTAGCCGGGCGTGCTGGTGCGTGCCTGTCATCTCAGCTATCGGGAGGCTGAGGCGGGAGAATCGCTTGAGCCCAGGTGATCGAGGCTGCCGTGAGCTATGATGGCGCCACTGCACTGCAGCCTAGGTGACAGAGCAAGACATGGTCTCAAAAAAAAGAAAAGAAAAGAAAAAACAAAGTGAAGGAAAGGGCCACTTTAGTTACAAGGGACTCCTGTACAAAGACCTGGAGGCGGGAAGAGACCGATAATGTAACCAACTCAAGTTTCTGCTACTCAGAGGCAGAGGAAGTGGGGGGTGGTGAAAGTAAAGCAGCTTTACTGATCAAATGCTCGCAGATGAGAAATGGCCAAGCTAATGTCTTTAGAAGACCATTTCAAGCTTTAGGCTGGGGAGAGGGGCTTAAAAAGGGGAACTTTGAATGGGAGGCATACAGGAGTGGTGCTGGGTACAAGGTATGTGTGTCTTGCTCCGAAGGCTGTCTTGAGTCACGGGCCACCTGGAGCATGGGCTGGTGTCAAGTCAACAATGGCCACGTTGTAGATTGATCGCCTTGAGGTGATCTCTGGAGTTTTGCAGCTGGGTTTCCATACCTAGTTTGTTTCAAGATTAGCCCCTGCGGCGAGGCGCGGTGGCTTACGCCTGTAATCCCAACAGTTTGGGAGGCCAAGGTGGGTCGCTCACTTGAGGTCAAGAGTTCAAGACCAGCCTGGCTTACATAGTGAAACCTTGACTCTACAAAAAAAAAAAAAAAAAATTAGCTGGGCATGGTGGCAGGTGCCTGTAGTCCCAGCTACTCAGGAGGCTGAGGCAGGAGAATCGCTTGAACCCAGGAGGTGGAGGTTGCAAGTGAGCCAAGACTGCGCCACTGCACTCCAACCTGGGTGTCAGAGCCAGACTCCATCTTTAAAAAATAAATAAATAAAGATTAGCCCCTGGAACTTCTAAGTAAGCACATAGATAAGCCAGCAGTGCAAGACAGTATCTAGTGGGAAAGGAGGGAAACAAAGAATTTCAAAGTATGTTTTCAAGGCTAAAGGCAAGAAAGGAATAAGAAAGTTTGCAAATGCATTTGGAATCTACACCACTTGGTTCCAGTAAGTCTTAGCAAGGTGGCGGTCATAGGGGTGTGCTGCGTCTTGCACAGGTCGGAGCTGGAGACTCGCCAGTGAACAAAACAAACTAAAGCACCTGTTGTCGTGGAGCCTGCATGCTAGTGGGGTTGATAAAGAAGGACCAGGGTCTTCTGGGGGAGAATCATCGCTCAGTAATAAGGAGGGACTTTGTCGGGGCAAGTTTTTAGGGAACGCTGCTGTCCCTCCCCAGGCCTCGGGATGTCTCTGGCAGATGAGCTCTTAGCTGATCTCGAAGAGGCAGCAGAAGAGGAGGAAGGAGGAAGCTATGGGGAGGAAGAAGAGGAGCCAGCGATCGAGGATGTGCAGGAGGAGACACAGCTGGATCTTTCCGGGGATTCAGTCAAGACCATCGCCAAGCTATGGGATAGTAAGATGGTAAGAGGACAAGAGGTGTTCCTAGCAGGGGGCTCTAGACAGAATCTCCCAGAAGGGGGTGATACAGGCTTCTTTTTGAAGAGTGCTGGATTCTGACTGTCTTCTCCTTTCCTACAGTTTGCTGAGATTATGATGAAGATTGAGGAGTATATCAGCAAGCAAGCCAAAGCTTCAGAAGGTGCTTCCTCCCACTCTGTGCCCCTCCCCATCTCCTGTCTCTCCTGCCAGGCCCCCTGGCTCCCTGGCTGCTTGTGGCTGGGTATATCTCCTTCTCAGCCTTTTCCAGAGCCTTCTTTTTTTTTTGTTTCACCCCAACCCGTTCCCTTTTCCACTAAATATATATTGCATTGTAAAGCTCATGCTTCTTAAGTCCTTCCTGTGTGCTGAGCTTACTGATCATGATAGGACTCAGCTTGAGGTTTCCCAGACTTCACTGATTCACATGACCGGTTACAGGGTTTTTGCCACATCTATAAGCCGCTTATCCTATTATTTGCTTAACATATTCTTTGAGTCTAGGACTTTTTTTCTTAAATTTATCTGAGAAGGAAGCAAATTGCTACCATGAATGGAAAACTGGTATCATTTGGCAAAGACAAAGTCACTGTATAAAAATAGATATATAATTATTTAGGAACCACCTAAGGCCGGGCGCCGTGGCTCACGCCTGTAATCCCAGCACTTTGGGAGGCGGAGGCAGGTGGATCATGAGTTCAGGAGATCGAGACCATCCTGGCTAACACGGTGACACCCCGTCTCTACTAAAAATACAAAAAATTAGCCAGGCGTGGTGGCGGGTGCCTGTAGTCCCAGCTACTCAGGAGGCTGAGGCGGGAGAATGGCGTGAACCTGGGAGGCGGAGCTTGCAGTGAGCCGAGATCGTGCCACTGCACTCCAGCCTGGGCGACAGAGCAAGACTCCGTCTCAAAAAAAAAAAAAATAACCTAAAACCTTTTCTCATGCCCAAATTGAGAGAACACTAGCTTATCTCATGAGTGCTCAGACTCACTCTTAAGAGGGCAGTCCTGTTACCATTCCTATTCTTTTTTTTTTTTCCTTGAGATAGAGTCTCCCTCTGTCGCCCAGGCTGGAGTGCAGTGATGTGTTCTTGGCTCATTGCAACCTCCACCTCCCGGGTTCAAGCGATTCTCCTCCCTCAGCCTTATGTATAGCTGGGATTACAGGTATGCAACACCATGCCTGGCTATTTTGTATTTTTTAGTAGAGATGGGGTTTCACCATGTTGACCAGGCTAGTCTCGAACTCCTGACCTCAAGTAATCCGCCCACCTCGGCCTCCCAAAGTGCTGGGATTACAGGCATGAGCCACTACGCCCAGCCTTCCCATTCTTCTTGAATGGAATTTGTTGATGACAGGAAGCCATAGGAGGTTTCTGGGGAAAGAAGTGTAGTGAGAGGGCAGAGTTTCGGGAGACTCACTGCTTGCTTTCTTTAACGTTTACCTGGGCACCCAGTTGAATCGCCCAGGTCTTTGCTCTCAAAGTACTCAAGGTCTAGTGGAAGAGGCAGGCCAGGTTCCAGACAGCTATCAGTGGTGGTACCAAGCTGGGGACACCGGAGCCACAGGAGGGACTGGCTGACCCTGCCCCAGGTGTCAGGAAGAATCGATAGCTGAATTGGACTGTAGAGCATGAATGCATGTGCCAGGCAAAGAAAGGGAGAAGGGGGCCCAGGGAAAGACAGCGGCAGGCCCGGGGCCTCAGATATCCGGAGAGAGAATCCTGCAGAGTTCCAGATGCCAGGCCAAGGAATTTCTCCCTCCAGAGGGTTATGGGACACAGAAAGTGACATTTCCTGATGTCAGGCCAGGCTCAGGGATGGAGTCAGACCCCGTCACACCCGGTGTCTGGTTGAGGAGGCAGAGGTGAAACATCTCACAAGCTGTGGCAGTCCCTGTTTACTGGAGGTGCACAAGTGCTGCGGGTACACAGAGGAGGCGTCTGATCCTTCCAGAAAGGGAGGGAAGGATTCTGAGTCGCTGCCTGAGTCTTAAGGACTTAAAGAGCCATTTGAGCATCAGGGTTAGGAGTGCAGACTCTGACGCCGCCCTGCCTGGTGTCAGATCTGAGCTCTGCCTTCTACTGGCTGTGACATCAGGCAGTTAGTATTTGCATGACTTTTAAACACAACATCTTTTTGTTTGTTTGTTTTTTGAGACAGGGTCTCACTCTGTCACCCAGGCCAGAATGCAGTGGCACGATCCCAGCTCACTGCAGCCTTGACCTTGTGGGCTCAGGCGTTCCTGCCTCAGCCTCCCAGGCAGCTGGGACCACAGGTGTACACCACCATGCCTGGCTAATTTTTTTTCTTTAATTATGTGTAGAGATGGGGTCTCCCTATGTCGCCCAGGTTGCTCTCCAACTCCTGGGCTCAAGCAGTTCTCCTGCCTCAGCCTCCCAAAGTGCTGGGATTACAGGTATGAGCCACTGTGCCTGACCTCTTATTACTAAAGCACAAAGAAGCGTTTTCCAGAAACAGACGTGGGGTAAGGGATGCTCTGGGGAGAGGGAGCAGCACATGCAGAGGCCAGGAGGGGTCTGGCGCGGTGGCTCACGCCTGTCATCCCAGCACTTTGGGTGGTCAAGGCAGATGGATCACCTGAGGTCGGGAGTTCGAGACCAGCCTGCCCAACATGGTGAAACCCCGTCTCTACTAAAAATACAAACAAACAAAAAAAATTAGCCGGGCGTGGTGGCACATGCCTGTAATCCCAGCTACTCAGGAGGCTGAGGCAGGAGAATCGCTTGAACCCAGGAGGCGGAGGTTGCAGTGAGCTGAGATCATGCCACTATACTCTAGCCTGGGCAACCAGAGCGAAATTATGTCTCAAAAAAAAAAAAAAAGGCTAGGAGGAGTGGGTGTCTGGGGCACTGTGATCACTCCTTTATGGCTGGAGTGGAATAAAATGAGGTGTGGTGAGAGGATGGGGCGGGAAGGGCGGGAGGCCAGACTGCAGAGCTGCTGAGTCAGCAAACAGGAACGGGGGAACTCCCTGTGTGCCAGGTGCTGTCCTGGGTACTCGGCTGTGGGTACAGCCAACGCAGGCACAGCACTGGTCCCTGCAGAGCTTCCGGAGTTGGGGAGGCCCTGAATGTCAGTCTGAGGACTCGGTCATTAGCCTTGGGGCTGTGGGGAGCCGTAGGAGGTTTCACACGGTCAGTTCTGGGGTAGATGGGGTCAAGTCTAGACTGGTGTGGAGGGAGAGGGATTGAAGGCAGGAACACAAGTTCAGGGATGTCTGCAGACATCAGCCTGTCCCTGGTTTACTCTTCAGCCCCTCCTTCCTGACCCCTCCCAACTTCATCCTCCGCCTCCTCCAGCTGCGGGACCCGAGAGGGGGTAGGGATTTAGATACTCACACCCATGCCTCCGTGTCCTCACAGTGATGGGACCAGTGGAGGCCGCGCCTGAATACCGCGTCATCGTGGATGCCAACAACCTGACCGTGGAGATCGAAAACGAGCTGAGTGAGTGCTGGGGGGCAGGCGGAGACAGCCCCGTGTGACGTCCCTCACGCCCCCTCTCCCTTCCCCACTGGCCTTTCCCAGGGTCCTGCCCCTAAGCCCAAGCTCAGATCGAGGTTGACCTGCTGTCACAGAGTGGCTGAAATAAGAAGGAAGTGCGTTCTCTCGCGTATGAGTCTGAGGAGCACTCGGGGATGGTGTGGCCGCTTGGCTGCCTGTAGGGCCCCGGCTCTTTCCATCCTGTTGGTCGGCCACCTGCCTCACGGTGCGAGGTGACTGCCCCACCTCCAGCCATCACCTCCGCATTCCCACCAGCAAGGCGCTTCTTTTCTTTAAGAACATGTCACTGCAGCTCACGTTTTACAGACCAGAACTAATTCCCCTGGTCACACCTAGCGGTAAGGACGGCTGAGAAAGGCTGTATGCTGGTGCCCGTGTGCCAGGCCACAAGCCAGGGCTTCAGTTACTAAAGGAAGAAGGGGACATGGGTGTTAGGGCCAACCAGCAGAGTCTACCTTCCATCTCACCCGACAACCTCCTGTCCCGTTTACCCTAGACATCATCCATAAGTTCATCCGGGATAAGTACTCAAAGAGATTCCCTGAACTGGAGTCCTTGGTCCCCAATGCACTGGATTACATCCGCACGGTCAAGGTGAGCGCAGAGAAGGTGGGGTGCTTCTGCTGGCGTGAAGGGGCAGGCGGGGCTCACTCTCGGACCCCCTCCCAGAGGCCTCAGGGTCTGGAGACGATGGAGAGGAGTGGACGAGGGCTCAGTGGTCTGCTCTGCCCAGCGTGGGAGGGACGGAGCCTGGACAGGACTTTCTCAGGGCTCCCCTCCAACCCCAGTCTCCCGAGAGGGCTTCCCCGCTGGCCTGACCCACGCTGCTCCCGCTGTGGTTGGAGCCGGTGGCATTGGAGTTGACATCCGAAGGTTGACACAGGGCAGGCACACGGAGATTTGGGGCAGAGAGACGTCTAAGTGCAGAGAGCTGGAGAGGGAACAAGTGGGGAGGAAGTGAGGCGGGGAAGGAGGGGACGGGGAAGAGGTCGGATCACGTCCAGCCTTTGGGTCTTAGGAGAAAGCCAAGGAAGGGTTTCGGAAAAGAGGGGCAGGTGTGCGTGAGGGCGGGGAGAGGAGGAGGTCCCCACGCATGTCCAGGAAAGGATTAGGATGGCGGTGGGGAAGCCCCTGCAGGGAAGCGAGGCCGCGGATTTGCACTCCGACTTGACGCAGGCCAGAGGCTTGTGAGGCCACAGTCTTTCCAGACGCCACTCTGCCCGGGCTCCGTTTCCAGGTCAGCGAAAGCAGGGCAGATGGTGTGGATGCTTGACGTGGTGGAGGCAGGAATGGTGTGGATGCTTCAGGCGGTGGAGGCAGGAGAGGCCCCCAGTGCAGAGACCCTGACTGTCCCAGTGTCCCTAAGAAGAGACCTGAGGAGGTGCTGAGCAAGAGAGGTTCTCGAGCCTTCCTGAGTTCCCGAGCCTCCCCTATCTTCTCTGCTCGCCCCCAGGAGCTGGGCAACAGCCTGGACAAGTGCAAGAACAATGAGAACCTGCAGCAGATCCTCACCAATGCCACCATCATGGTCGTCAGCGTCACCGCCTCCACCACCCAGGGGTATGTCCGCTTCGAGGGAGGCGCCGGGCCCTAATGGGATTGGGGATTAGGCTGGAGCTACACACGCAGGTGTACACACGCACACACACATACACACATGCACACACACACACAGAACCGAGAGGGCTGGGGCTGGGCACACCAGGCAGGCGGGAGATCCAGGAGGCTGGGCCCACCCGCCCCTGCAGGCAGCAGCTGTCGGAGGAGGAGCTGGAGCGGCTGGAGGAGGCCTGCGACATGGCGCTGGAGCTGAACGCCTCCAAGCACCGCATCTACGAGTATGTGGAGTCCCGGATGTCCTTCATCGCACCCAACCTGTCCATCATTATCGGGGCATCCACGGCCGCCAAGATCATGGGTGAGTCCCCGGGCTGGGTCCCATGGAGCGGGGGTCTGCTGACACTGTGACCTTGGGAAAGCTACATCCTTTTCTGTAGAATGGGGGCTTTGGCACCTGGACCTCAGCACCCCGTCTCCCTGGACATCACAGAGGTCAGCCAGCCTGGCACACAGCAAAGCCTCGTCTGTGGGAAAAACACTCACCCACAGCTCCTTCTCCCTCCCCTGTGCCGGAAACCCAGAGATGACCACACCCAGGCCCTGTTGTCAGGGAGCTCCTGGTTTGGTGAAAATGGTTCCAAAACACAGCCATCCCTGGAACGGCGTTAGTGTGGCTTAGCACAAACGTGGTGGTCAGCTTCCTGTTGGGGGCCTCCTCCCTGCACCCCCAGGCCAGCTGCCCTCCCTCTCTGAGCCTCCTTTGCATCTGCCCCTTGCGGAATGGGCCAGGTCGCCCGCCTGGCAGGGCCATCGAGGAATCCAACCAGAACTTCATGTAAAGGTGCCCAGCACACGTCGAGCCCCCAGGCAGATTTACTCACCCCCACCTCTCTGCTTTCTTCTGACCGCCCCCCCTTCCTCCCTCCCTCCCACCGCAGGTGTGGCCGGCGGCCTGACCAACCTCTCCAAGATGCCCGCCTGCAACATCATGCTGCTCGGGGCCCAGCGCAAGACGCTGTCGGGCTTCTCGTCTACCTCAGTGCTGCCCCACACCGGCTACATCTACCACAGTGACATCGTGCAGTCCCTGCCACCGGTGAGCCCACTGCGTCATGGCCCCTCCCCCGGCCCCCCTGGAGCCTTCCGCTGTGCCCAGACAGCCTGAGCAGCCACCCACCATCTGGCCCAGCTGACGGTAGCACTCAGGAGCTGGGAACAGGGTGGCATGGGACGTGAGAGCCAGGGCTCTGCAGCAGACCAGCTCCAGCACCCACCAGTCAGGTGACTGTGGGCAAGAGGCATGAGCGCCCTGTGCCTCAGTCTCCTCCCCTATCAAATGGGAGCACAGCGCCTGCTTCATGAGTTGGGACGAGGGCTCAGTGCACATGAAGCACTTACAGTTCAGGCCTAGCTCACGACAAGCAGCGTCGGGTTAGCGTGCAACTGCTCCGAAGACCACCCTCAGGTTTGACCATTCACTAGAAAGACTCACAGAATCCACTGAGGGCTGCACATCAGCCATGGGGAGAGACACACAGGAGGGGCAGGAGAGGTCACCAACCTCGGAGCTTCCCGGGTCCTCTCCCTGCAGTCGGGACACATCACCATCCCAGCATCGACGCCTGACAGCACACACACAGGCCCGCTAGCCTGGCGGGGCGCAGTGGCTCGTGCCTGTCATCCCAGCACTTTGGGAGGCCGAGGCGGGCAGATCACCTGAGGTCAGGTGTTCGAGACCAGCCTGGCCAACATGGTGAAACCCCATCTCTACCAAAAATACAAAAAACTAGCTGGGTATAGTGGCACACACTTATAATCCCAGCTACTTGGGAGGCTGAGGCAGGAGAATCGCTTGAACCCAGGAGGTGGAGGTTGCAGTGAGCTAAGATCATACCACTGCCCTCCAGCCTGGGTGACAGAGTGAGACTCTGTCTCAAAAAAAAAAAAAAACAAGACAGGTTCTGGGACAGACAGGCCTGGGTCCAGACCCTGCTCTGTCCGACTGTGGCGAGTTACCTCAGGCTCACGGCCCTGTGCCCTGCCTGGCCTCCCCCAGGGATGGGGAGAACAATAGCACTGATGGCCAAGGCTGGGCAGGCACTTCCTGGCCCCACCCCCCAGCCCTGTGTGGGGTTTTTTTTGTGGTCTTTTCTGCGACCCTTTAGGTCAGGCACTGCTACTGGAACACACCCAGGGAGGCTGGCAGGTCACCCCATCCTGGGAGGAGAGAGAGTGGGCGATAGAACCCAGGACGGGTGGGCCTGGGGCTCGGGGCTCCAGCTGCCTCACTGCACCCCTGCCATCGCCACCGCCTCACAGCCCTGGGCATATGGGTTAAACCTGCCCCAGGGAGCCTGATGTCTTGTCACCCAGGCCTCTGCCTCTTCATTTGGCCATCTCACATCGGTCCAGGCACAGGCCGTAGACACCACAGGCCTGTAAGGGAGGCCAGGGCTGGCCATCGCTTCACTGTGGCTGACAGCTGGGCTCTGTTTGCAGTTTGGATTGGAACCCTGGCTCCATCACCTGCTGGCTGTCTCCCTGGCCACATGACTTGAAGCCTTGGTTTCCACATCTGAAAAGGGGGTGCAATGATCACACCAGCCCAATATTTGAATATTTGATGAGATGATCCGAGGGGCGTGCTTAGCATGGGGCTGGCATCCAGGCCGAGTGCACTCCCCCCGGCGTCTCCACAGTCACCACCGTCCTCGTTGTCAGCGTGCCTTACTGTCATCCTTACCTGATGGCCACTTATCAGCTGGGACATGGCTCTGTGCCCTGCCCTCATCCCCTCTTCCTGTGAAGTAGGAGCTGAGAGCACACACCTCTAGAGCCCAAGGGTGGAAAGCCCCCTTCCAGGACCCCAGGTAGAGCCAGAGGAGGAGCGCGCGCGGTTGCTTTGCTGTTACCTCTGTCTGTCTGTCTCACACAGATTCCACCCCCGTTTTCCGTTGCTCCAGGATCTGCGGCGGAAAGCGGCCCGGCTGGTGGCCGCCAAGTGCACACTGGCAGCCCGTGTGGACAGTTTCCACGAGAGCACAGAAGGGAAGGTGAGGAGGGAAAGGTGAGGGGCGGCCGGGCGTCTTTTCCTCTGGGCCTGGGGTGTCTCTGCAGGGAGACCCTCAGCAGGGAGCCCACCCCAGCGAGCACTGTCCTACCAAGGCGGAGGCAGTGCTTCTGCCCACCCTCCCTGGGGTCAGGCACCCCCTTCCCCAGTGGGGTTTCCTAGGTCTGCTGTTGGAAGGTAGCATGAACCTACTGGCTTCAAACAGTGCAGGTGTGGCCGGGTGCAGTAGCTCACGCCTGTAATCCCAGCACTTTGGGAGGCCAGGGTGGGCGGGTCACAAGGTCAGGAGTTTGAGACCAGCCTGGCCAACATGGTGAAACCCCATCTCTACCAAAATTAGCCGGGTGTGGTGGCACGCACCTGTAATCCCAGTTACTCAGGAGGCTGAGGCAGGAGAATTGCTTGAACCTGGGAGACGGAGGTTGCAGTGAACTGAGATTGCATCATTGCACTCCAGCTTGGGTGACATAGCGAGACTCCATCTAAAAACAAAAACAAAAAACAGTACAGGTTTATTATCTGTGGTCCTGTAGGTCAGAAGTCCAAAATGAGTTTCACTGGGCTGAAGTCAGGGTGTCATCCTGGAGCGTTCCTTCTGGGGGATTCAAGGGATAATCCATTCCCTTGTCTTTTCCAGCTTCTAGGGGTCACTGGCACCCCTTAGCTCGTGGCCCTCCCTCTGTCTGCGGAGCCAGCCACATAGCACCCTCAGACCTCTCTCTGACTCTGCTTCTGTCTTCATATCTCGGCCTCTGTTTTTGTTCCCCTCTTCTATTTTAAGGGCCCCTGTGGCTATACTGAGCCTACTCAGATGGTCCAGGATAGTCTTCCCAGCTCACAATCCTTAAAATCCTTCTTAACCTCTTCACGTCCCTTTTGCCCTGTGATTCTGGGAATTAGAACATGGGCCTCTTTGGGCATGTGTGTGTTGGTGGGGGCGTAATTTGCCTTCCACACCAGGATCTGTCCCCGCTGCAACAGGGGATGTTATTCAAGTAATTATTCAGTTACCTTCTGTCTTCCTTGGTAGATGTACTCGGGAGAGGAGACGTTTTCTGTCTTGTGAACTGTCGTTTGCCAAGCACCCGGCCTGGCACAGCGTTCAGGTGTTCCGTGTCCCCTTCTCCTTTCCCTCTCCCCATCTCACCCCTGGTCTGGGTGTGGGGGTGCAGCTGTGAGTAGCACAGACAGGACCCCTGCCCCGTGGCGTGGACATTCTTGTTGGGGCCGGGTCAAAGAGACAGTCAACAGGTGAACTCTGTCCTGCGTCTAGCGGTGCTAAGTCAACACCAAGAAGAAAAAGAAAGGGGGTGGCGGTGAGGCAGCATTAGGTGCTGATTTAACTAAGGCACGTGGATACTCGGGGGGTCCGCTCAGAGGAGGCCTGGGTGGGCAGCCCACGCGAGCAGCTGCAGGACCTCCCCCTCGCCCTCCCCAGGTGGGCTACGAACTGAAGGATGAGATCGAGCGCAAATTCGACAAGTGGCAGGAGCCGCCGCCTGTGAAGCAGGTGAAGCCGCTGCCTGCGCCCCTGGATGGACAGCGGAAGAAGCGAGGCGGCCGCAGGTGAGGGGCCCTGGGGGTCCGGTAGGCATGGGGGTCATGGAGGGGAGAAGCCGGCGTCCTCCTCCCAGCCGACTCCCTGGCGCCGCCCACCCACCCGTCCCCAGGTACCGCAAGATGAAGGAGCGGCTGGGGCTGACGGAGATCCGGAAGCAGGCCAACCGTATGAGCTTCGGAGAGGTCAGACTCCCAGAGCGCCCTCCTCAACCCCACAGCCAGCCAGCCGCCACCGCCCTCTGCCTCCTGCCACCGCCCCTCCTCTCGTCCTGTGGCCCTGGCTCATGTCTAGGGCGCTGCCCCAGCCTCCTCCCCCCCGGCCTCTATTCTCGTTTCCATCCATTCAGCCCCAAAGCGACCCTCGCGGCCCTTGGAGCCTGTGTCTCCGCTGCTTAGAGCCCCCGCGGCTTCCCATCGCCCCGGGCTCCTTGGCCGGTTCCTCCCTGCCCAGAGGCTCCTTAGTGCCCTGCTGCACGGCCGCCCCGTCCCTGGGCCCCGCCAGTCTCCTCTGTTATCCCAGCGTCATCCCCTTGGTCCTGCAGGACCGAACTCAGAGGCCACCTCATCCTATTAAACCTGTTCTGGTTCCTGACATCCCCCGACCCACACGAGTAAGGAAGGAATGGCCTCCCAACTCTGAGCTCACAGAGCAGTGCTGGGACCGGGCCCCTCTCAGGCTCCCCGGCATCCCCCGCGTGTGTGGGCCCCCAGGCCTCAGCCGGGCCGAGTGGGTACCGGAGCAGGTGCCCGTGGGACCGGCCGGCTGGTGACCGCTGGGCTTCCGGCTGGTGGAGGGGGTGCCTCGGTGGCTGGAGGGCAGGGCCTGGTCGCTGAACTGCAGGGCGCCTCCTCTTCCCCCTAGATCGAGGAGGACGCCTACCAGGAGGACCTGGGATTCAGCCTGGGCCACCTGGGCAAGTCGGGCAGTGGGCGTGTGCGGCAGACACAGGTAAACGAGGCCACCAAGGCCAGGATCTCCAAGACGCTGCAGGTATGGGCCAGACCCAGGTGGGGCTGGGGACCGAGGGACACAAGGTGGGGGGAGCCCAGATCGCAGCCTCCCTGTCCTCCCCACAGCGGACCCTGCAGAAGCAGAGCGTCGTATATGGCGGGAAGTCCACCATCCGCGACCGCTCCTCGGGCACGGCCTCCAGCGTGGCCTTCACCCCACTCCAGGTACCTCCCCTGGGCCGGCTCTGTCCCCAGCCCTGAGACCTTGGCAAGGCCCCTTGCCCTCTGCCCCTGTGAAGAAGGCCAGGATGAGTCTCCTCATGGGGCTGTTGTGGAGGGTGTGGTGACGAGGTATGCAGAGGACGTAGACAGCTCCTGGCACACAGGAAGAGGTTAGCAGAGACGAGAGCCCAGCGCTGAGCAGTCCTCGTGAGCACGCACTGCTTTAGAACCAGGCCCACAGCTGTGTTCAGGGCACCCAGTTCCTCTGTCGGGCTGTGAGCGGGTAACACTGCTCAGCCTCCAGGCCCTCCAGTTCAAAACGGCCAGGACGGTTAAGGTAACCTCAGGACCCCACTCGAGAAAGTTCCCGGCTAGGCGGGCTTGGATGTCAAGTGTGGGTCCAGGCCCCAGCCAGTCAGCAGTGAGCAGCGTGGAGCATGGCAGTCACCGCATCGTCGGAGCCTCGGTTTACCATCCACAGAGCAGGGCGAGCCTGCACCACGGAGGCGAGACAGCAGCGAGCTCATCTGCCCAGTCAGCGGGTGTCTACGCAGCACCTGCTGAGTTCTGTCAGTGTTCCCGGCTCTGGGGATGAAGCAACGAATGAGAGACAAGTCTTACCTTCTTGGAGCCAGTGGGTGGCCGGGCGCAGACAGCTCAGTAAGATGTCCAGTGTAGGAGAAGGCAGAAATGCCAGGCCGGGCGCAGACAGCTCAGTAAGATGTCCAGTGTAGGAGAAGGCAGAAATGCCAGGCTGGGCGCAGACAGCTCAGTAAGATGTCCAGTGTAGGAGAAGGCAGAAATGCCAGGCCGGGCGCAGACAGCTCAGTAAGATGTCCAGTGTAGGAGAAGGCAGAAATGCCAGGCCGGGCGCAGACAGCTCAGTAAGATGTCCAGTGTAGGAGAAGGCAGAAATGCCAGGCCGGGCGCAGACAGCTCAGTAAGATGTCCAGTGTAGGAGAAGGCAGAAATGCCAGGCTGGGCGCAGACAGCTCAGTAAGATGCCCAGTGTAGTAGAAGGCAGAAATGCCAGGCCGGGCGCGGTGGCTCACGCCTGTAATCCCAGCACTTTGGGAGGCCGAGGCAGGTGGATCATGAGGTCAGGAGATCGAGACCATCCTGGCTAACACGGTGAAACCCCGTCTCTACTAAAAATACAAAAACTTAGCCGGGCGTGGTGGCGGGCGCCTGTAGTCCCAGCTACTTGGGAGGCTGAGGCAGGAGAATGGCGTGAACCCGGGAGGCGGAGCTTGCAGTGAGCCGAGATCGCGCCACTGCACTTCAGCCTGGGCGACAGAGCCAGACTCTGTCTCAAAAAAAAAAAAAAGAAGGCAGAAATGCCAGGGAGGGGAGGAGGTGGAAGGTAGGAGGTGGGACAGGGGAGGCTCTCGTTTCGGAGCAGCCAGGGAGGGCCTCTTTGAGAAGATGAGGCCAGTGGCTGTGCCTTTCCAAGCCTCCCCTCCTCCATCATGAGGTGCTCAGGACTGAAAAGAACGCACAGGAAGCACTTGGCACTGGGCTCACCATTAGAGCCCAATGACTGGGTCCTGTTATTATTTTTAGAGACGGGGGCTCGCTCTGTTGCCTTGAAAATATTTAGGAAGTGCCAGCCAGGTGTTGGCTCCCATTGCTGCCACTATGATCGTCAGTGGTGTTGGTGTGATTTGTGCTAGGACCTCGGGCCAGCCATGTCCCCCAGGGACTCAGTTTCCTTATGCAGAAACTGGGCAGGATTGGCTGTCCTCAAGCATTGGTTGTTTTTAGCACCCCTGAGGAACTTCGTACAAATCCAGGCGCCCTGGTTCCTCCCCACCCTCTCCCTCTAGACCCACTGAGTCAGAATCTCCCAAGACAGGGCAACTCCAGGGACAGGCAAACTGTCTCATGCCCACCAAGGCCTGAGTGCCATGGGGAAGGGCCTGGGGGGCTCTGATGGGTCACAGTTGGGGCCTTCTCCTCACCTAACCCATCATCCTCTCTCCCTCACCTGCCCAGGGCCTGGAGATTGTGAACCCACAGGCGGCAGAGAAGAAGGTGGCTGAGGCCAACCAGAAGTATTTCTCCAGCATGGCTGAGTTCCTCAAGGTCAAGGGCGAGAAGAGTGGCCTTATGTCCACCTGAATGACTGCGTGTGTCCAAGGTGGCTTCCCACTGAAGGGACACAGAGGTCCAGTCCTTCTGAAGGGCTAGGATCGGGTTCTGGCAGGGAGAACCTGCCCTGCCACTGGCCCCATTGCTGGGACTGCCCAGGGAGGAGGCCTTGGAAGAGTCCGGCCTGGCCTCCCCCAGGACCGAGATCACCGCCCAGTATGGGCTAGAGCAGGTCTTCATCATGCCTTGTCTTTTTTAACTGAGAAAGGAGATTTTTTGAAAAGAGTACAATTAAAAGGACATTGTCAAGATCTGTCCTTGGGGAGTGATCATTTTTCAAACAGCCGGGGCAACTAGAAGAATCAGAGCTGTGGAGCTTTGAGAAAAGAGCTTGGCCCTCGGGTCCAAGCGGTGTCTAGGCCCACTCCCTTCCCCGTTACTTTCTCGTCATGGGATCCCAGAAGGAAAAAGCCCTCTCCAACCCCCTGGAGAGCCGCAGTCACTTTGATAGCAAATGATGTGGCTGCCAACAGCCGCAGATCTCAGCGCAGGCCGACCGGGATTGCTGTCCACCTCAGGCCAGCCTCCTCACCTTTCCAAGCCTCCACACCTACGCCCAGGTGCCCAGGACTGGAAAGAATGCACAGAAAGCACTTAGCATGGGACTTGCCATCAGCGCCCTATAACCAGGTCCTGTTATGATTGGGTTTTTTAGAGACGGGGTCTCTGTTGCCCAGGTTGGAGTACAGTGATGCGATGAAGCTCACTAAAGCCTCAAACTCCTGGGCTGGGATTACAGGCATGAACCAGCACAGCTGGCCTCCTGGTTAATTTAAATTTTTTTTTTTTTTCTGAGGTGGAGTCTCGCTCTGTTGCCCAGGCTAGAGTACAGTGGTGCAATCTTGGCTCACTGCAACCTCTACCTCCCGGGTTCAAGCAATTCTCCTGCCTCAGCCTCCTGAGTAGCTGGGATTACAGGCATGTGCCACCATGTCCCGCTAATTTTTATAGTTTTTAGTAGAGACAGGGTTTCGCCATGTTGGTCAGGCTGTTCTCGAACTCCTGACCTCATGATATGCCCACCTCAGCCTCCCAAAGTGCCAGGATTACAGGTGTGAGCCACCACCCCAGCCCCATTTTTAAATTGTTTATAGACAGGGTCGTGCTCTATTACCCAGGCTGGGCTTGAACTCCTGTGCTCAAGTGAGCTTTCCACCTCAGCCTCCCTAAGTGTTGAGATTACAGGCTTGAGCCGCTGTGTCTGGCCTCTTATTATTATTATTATTTTTTTTTTTGAGACAGAATCTCACTCTGTTGCCCAGGCTGGAGTGCAGTGGGATGATCCTGGCTCATGGCAACCTCCACCTCCCGGGTCCAGGTGATTCTCCTGCCTCAGTCTCCTGAGTAGCTGGGATTACAGGCGCCCATGGGTTTTGTTTGTTTGTTTGTTTGTTTGTTTGTTTTTCAGACGGAGTCTTGCTCTGTCACCCAGGCTGGAGTGCAATGACATGGTCTTGGCTCACTGCAAACTCCGCCTCCCAGGTTGAAGTGATTCTCCTGCCTCAGCCTCCCGAATAGCTGGGATTACAGGCGCCCGCCACCACGCCTGGCTAATTTTGTATTTTTAGCAGAGACGGGGTTTCACCATTTGGGCCAGGCTGGTCTTGAATTGCTGACCTTG
Source organism: Homo sapiens (assembly GCF_000001405.40). NCBI lineage: Eukaryota > Metazoa > Chordata > Mammalia > Primates > Hominidae > Homo > Homo sapiens. Next base: position 107,628 of record NW_003571061.2, read on the forward strand.
TGATCTGCCCGCCTCGGCCTCCCAAAGTGCTGGGATTACAGGTGTGACCCACCGCGCCCGGCCGAGATGGGGTTTTACCATGTTGGCCAGGCTGGTCTCGAACTCCTGACCTCAAATAATCCGCCTGCCTCGTCTCCCAAAGTGCTGGGATTACCCTGTGCCTGGCCCAGCCTCTTATTTATAACCAGTGTTGAGGGACTGTGTGGAGCCGGGCACAGGCGAAGCAGGCAGGCTTCCTGCCCTGGTAGGACCTGGTTGCTATAAAAGTCCTGCCAGGTGAGCAGAAGGAGCACACTTCCCCTCCCCTGACCTCCAGTCACTGAGTCTCGGGAACCGGGGCTCGGCCAGGAGCGCCTTTACTTGGACTGAGGGGAATGTGGCCTGCAGACAGTCAGGAGAGTTTCCAGGGGACAGCAGGGGCTGTCCTAGCGGGTGGCATGAAACCGTCTCCCTGGAGAGGTTAAGGAAGAGCAACTCCAGGGGTTCCATTTACTATGTGCTCCGGAGCTGGGCTACACGGTGGTACTAAGGAGGCAGCGCTAGTCACCTGACCTACAAGGTCGGGCTTCTGTTAGTTACCTAAGAGATGTTACCAGGACAAGCAGCAGCCTGGTGGGAAGATGATGCCTCCAGGTCTCTACCTCCTCTCTCTCTCCCTCCTTCTCTCCACCTCCCCTCTCTCTCCCTCCCTCTCTCCACCTCCCCTCTCTCTCTTCCTCCCTCTCCACCTCCCCTCTCTCTCCCTCCCTCTCTCCACCTCCCCTCTCTCTCCCTCCCTCTCTCCACCTCCCCTCTCTCTCTCCCTCCCTCTCTCCACCTCCCCTGTCTCCACCTCCCCTCCCTCTGTCCCTCCCTCTCTCCACCTCCCCTCCCTCTGTCCCTCCCTCTCTCCACCTCCCCTCTCTCTCCCTCCCTCTCTCCACCTCCCCTCTCTCTCTTCCTCCCTCTCCACCTCCCCTCTCTCTCTTCCTCCCTCTCCACCTCCCCTCTCTCCCTCCCTCTCTCCACCTCCCCTGTCTCCACCTCCCCTCCCTCTGTCCCTCCCTCTCTCCACCTCCCCTCTCTCTGTCCCTCCCTCTCTCCACCTCCCCTCTCTCTGTCCCTCCCTCTCTCCACCTCCCCTCTCTCTCCCTCCCTCTCTCCACCTCCCCTCTCTCTCCCTCCCTCTCTCCACCTCCCCTCTCTCTGTCCCTCCCTCTCTCCACCTCCCCTCTCTCTCTCCCTCCCTCTCCACCTCCCCTCTCTCCACCTCCCCTCACTCCACCTTCCCTCTCTCTCCCTCTCTCTCCTCCCCTCTCCCTCCCTCCACCTCCCCTCCCTCTCTCCACCTCCCCTCCCTCTCTCCCTCCCTCCCTCCCTCTCTCCACCTTCCCTCTCCCTCCCTCCACCTTCCCTCTCCCTCCCTCCACCTTCCCTCTCCCTCCCTCTCCACCTTCCCTCTCTCCTCCCCTCTCCCTCCCTCTCTCCACCTCCCCTCTCTCCCTCCCTCCCTCCCTCTCTCCACCTTCCCTCTCTCCCTCCCTCTCTCCACCTTCCCTCTCTCTCTCTCCCTCCCTCTCTCCAGCTCATGCTATCTGGGTCTCCCTCTGACTTTCTAGGTCCTGTCTGAGATTTTGCTCTTTCTGTTCCCCTCTCTGGGCCTCCCCGTCACCACTCTGTGTATCTCTGGATCCCTGTCCTTCAACCCAGAGCTCTGTCTCTGGACCTCAGTGGCAATCTCTAAATCTCTCTCCTTCCTCAAGTCAAAAAGTCGACACACTCAGGAGGTTCCCTTGAGTGGCTGAACTACCCCAGGTTGTATAACTCAAGTCTGTTTTCTCAATGTTATCCCTGACCCTCTGGGTCAACCCTGTTTGAAAATGACAACCTTTGCTGATCTCTACATACTGGTCTGCCAGGGAAGGACCCGTGGTCCACAACCCTGTTCAGAATCCCCCATCTCCCTTGGCCAAAATATCCGGCATCTACCAATGGGGCTGTGGCATGAGGGTGTCAATCTCAGGAAAGGAATCTTGAGTCGCCTGGGCCTGCAGCCCTCGTACTTTCAGAACAGAGGTTCTCAGAATTTAATGCGCTTCAGAATTACACTGAGGACTTGTTAAAACATAGTTGCTGGGCCCAGAGTTTCTGATTCAGTCTAGGGTGGGGCTCAAAAATGTGCCTTTCAAACAAGTTCCCAGGTGATGGGTACGTGCCTGACCCAAGGCCACATTTCAGAAGCACTGCTCTAGAAAAGAAGACTCTGTAAGCGGCTCTTACGCTGGGCGCGGTGGCTCACGCCTGTAATCCCAGCTACTTGGGAGGCTGAGGTGGGAGAATGGCTTGAACCTGGGAGGCAGAGGTTGCAGTGAGCCGAGATGGCGCCCCTGCACTCCAGCCTGGGTGAGAGAGACACTGGCTCCCACCTCAAGATCGTTTTAGTTGGTCCAGTGTAAGCCTGGGTATCTGGACTTTTTTATTTTTTATTTTTATTTTTTGAGACGGCGTCTTGCTCTGTCACCCAGGCTGGAGTGCAATGGCGCAATCTCGGGTCACTGCAACCTCTGCCTCCCAGGTTCAAGTGATTCTCCCGCCTCAGCCTCCCGAGTAGCTGGGATTACAGGCACATGCCACCATGCCCAGCTAATTTTTGTATTTTTAGTAGAGACGGGGTTTCACCATGTTGGCCAGGCTGGTTTTGAACTCCCTACCTCAGGTGATCCGCCCACCTCGGCCTCTGAGAGTGCTGGGATTACAGGTGCAATGGCGCAATCTAGGCTCACTGCAGCCTCTGCCTCCCGGGTTCAAGTGATTCTCCCGGCCCGGCCTGGCCTCTAATTTAAAAAAAATTTTTTTTTTTTAAAGTTCCTCAGGTAGGCCAGGCGCAGTCGTCACGCCTGTAATCCCAGCACTTTGGGAGACTGAGGCGAGCGGATCACCTGAGGTCAGGAGTTCGACACCAGCCTGGCCAACATGGTGAAACCCCGTCTCTACTAAAAATACAAAAATTAGTCGGGCGTGGTGGCGGGCGCCTGTAATCCCAGCTACTCGGGAGGCTGAGGCGGGAGAATCACTTGAACCCCGGGAGGCAGAGGCTGCAGTGAGCCTAGATTGTGCCACTGCTCTCCAGCCTGGGGGACAAGAGCAAGTCTTCGTCTCAACAACAACAACAATAACAACAAGTTCCTCAGGTGACTCTGATGTGCAGCCAAGTTGGAAAGTCATCGCTAGATCCGCGGTGTGCAAAGTGAACTGCGGACCGTGGACTGCGGCACTTGTTAGAAAAGCAGAATTTGCATTTTAACACATTCCTAGGTGATTCCGGAGATGTCTGAGAAGCGATACTTTGTCCAGGGGCCACAGTTTGAATAGCAGAGCTCTAGAACAATAACTCTAGGCTTCATTCCCGTTGTCTGTGTGTGGGCCTACGAATATGCATTTTCGCAAGCATTCCTCCTCCCCCTTGCCTCAGACCATTCTGATGCGGGTGGTGCTGAACGGCTCCATCCTCCTTCACGTTCACCTCTCCCTGGGATTTATCTTACTTTCCACCACCTAGACAGGAAGGGGCGAATCTGGCTTCCCATCTCGGTTGTGTGACCCTGGGCAAATGCCTCCCAGTTCGTGGAAGTCTCAGTGTCTAGTAAGTTTTCAATCACAAGTCATTCCTCACATTCATTCATCTATTCCTTTGACAAATGGTTACTGACTACTTCCTGCGTGCTAAGTGCTGGAGATGCAAAATCCAGACAGGGAAACCGAATAATTACGAAAATGACGGTAGACGTACAAAAATAAATCCTAACGAACAAGGCGCGCAGGAGCGCTCCGCCCGGGAGGGAGGTCAGGGAAGTTTTCTCTCCAAGAAGACAACAGAGCTGAGACCTGAAACGAGCAGGCATTAGGGAGCCACCCGTCTCCTCTGTACCTTCTGCAGCGTCCTCAACACACTAAGGAAGCGGAGACGCAGAGGAGAATGACTGTCCTACCATCTGGTCGCCTAACCAGGCAGGGGCAGGACAAAAACTCCATGCCTCACGCTTCCCAACCAATTCTGCTATGCACGGTGCCAGAGACTTAAAGCAGTGTCTCTGGTCCCTTTCTTCTTTCACTCAGCAAATAATGAATTTCAGAGATGTGCCAACATAGAGGCACTTGGAGAAAGACGAGGCAGCTGAGAGGGAAGCTGCTTACCTGGCCGGGACGCAACGGTTGCGACCAAGTCCCACTTCTGCCAGCTACATACACCCTCTTTCACACGCTCTACGAGCAGCTACCGCCCACTCGCCACGCTATTGGTCAAACTAGCATGAATGATAACTTTTAGGGCCAACGAAGAAAAAGGGGTGGACTTTCTTGCCCAGCTCCTCCCACTTGGCCCTGTGGCTGTTTTGATTGGCAGATGACTTCGGCTCGGCCCCCGCTTTAAAGGCACCTGTCTGTCTCCCATTAGGTACGCGGCCCCTAACGCCCACACTCCATGCCTTCCTCCGCTTTCCCCACCCACTTCCAGGACCAACCAATGACTTCAAGGCAGAATATGCCCCCGCAACCAATTAAAAAGAGCTCTAAACTTGACGGACGACTTCCCGCCCCTGGACTGTCGTAGCTCCTCCCCCAGACCAATTGTTTTAAGAGAGGGGGGCGGATACATCCAATCAGCACGACACAGGTCTCTTGATTGACGTTCGGGTCCTCGCGCTGGCGTGTTGTGCCCTGAGGCGGGAGGAGGAGGAGGAGCGGGGAGGAAAACCTGAGCCAATCCTAGCAGCCTGCGCGGGAGGCCAATCGAACGCCGCGCCTTGGAGCGATCACCCAATCCGCGAAAGGGGGCAGGGCGCATCCCTGCCAGGAACCAATAGAAAGCCTCCAAGGGTCAGGAGCGACGTTCAGCAGGAGCAATGACTGGCCTATATTCGGGACTCGGGGGCGGGTCGGCGCCAGAGACGAGAAGAGAGGAGGGGAGGCCTCCTCCGCCGCCGCCATCTTGGACCGGGCCCGGTCAGCTTCCGCGGAGCCATCGGCAGACGCCGCGGCCTCCCTTGAGCCCCGACCCCCGTCGTCAGAACAACCCCGGGCCCACTCCCCCAACCCCACTTCCGCTTCGCGCCGCTATCGCGATAGCGCCCGGGCCCGGGGCGCGAGAAAAAGGCGGCGGGCGCTCGCCTCCCCCGCCTGTCGCGATACGCTCCTCAGCGGCGGCGCCAGCTCCTGTGGTGAGAGCGTCAGGCTCGACTGGGCCGGACCCCTTCCCTTCCTCCCCCCGGCGCCATCGGCCGCCCTCCCCGCCGCCTCCCGCCCTGGCGACACCGCCGTCTGTCGCGACATGGCCTCCCCTCGCCTGCCCCCTGCCGCCGCCTCTGCAGCGCGGGGCTCCCGGCGGGGGGCGGCTCCCTCCCTCTCGCCCTCCCGTTCCTGCGCCTCTTTCACGTTCCTCAGCGCCTCCCGGGGGTCCTTCCGCGACCCGGACCCCGGGCCCCGCCCGCCGCCGCCTCCCCGCGTGGCATCGCGTCGGGCCCCCCGGTAGGGGTGTGAGGGTGCGAAGCCTCCCGGGCGCGAGGTGCCCGCCCCTCTCCGCGTCGGTATTGGCTCCTGGCTGGAAGGATGGAGGCGCCCCTGGTCCCAGGTGCCCGCCCTCTCGGGGCTCAGGTGCCTGCCCCCCTCGGCCTCGGTCCTTCGCGTTGTGGGGCAGCCTCCGCGCCGGGGCTTCTCCCTCGACGGTGGCGGGGAGGGGGGGTGGTGGTCGGGACGAGGACCCCAGCTGGGTGGGGGAGTCACCCTTCCCAGGACCGAGGCCGCCCTCCGCATCCCTCCTCACTGCTCCCGGGAGCGCAGCCTCCCCTGGATCTCAGGTTCCAGCTGCCCGTCTGTATCGGATGGGAGCCTCTTGGGAGAGGAGTGGAGGAGAAACTCCCCGTTAGTTGGAGCCTTTGCCGAAGTTTCCACCTCTGTAGTCTGCAGCTCTTCCCTCTCATAGCGAGTAGCGCCCTGGGTGGCTCCAGCCTCGCCATCCCGCTGCACTGGGCGCCTGCCTTTTTGGGGGAGTTTGGCTTTCCCCCACCTGGGGTACAGGACCGTCCTCAGTGTGGCCCACGTCTGGTCTCAGCTCTCACACTTCTTTGATCCTGGCGTCTGCCCCTGGCTTTGCAGCCTTGAACTCCCCTGCATCGTGACTCTCCGACCTTCTGGGTGTGGGCGTCTCCCAGTGATATCAGGACCACTGTGGTCTTGTTGCTGGGGGCTGCTGGGATCCCCTGGCGCTCAGGTGCCTGGTGAAAGACACTAAGCCGCCACGCTGTCCATGTTAGTGAGCTCCCACTGCGGGCAGCACCAGCCCCTCTTTCTGAGCAGTCCCTGCCTCTCAGTGCAGGGCGGCCACCCACCCCGGGGTGAGCTCTCCTGTCCTTTTGGTGAGGGGTTTTGATGTCTCCCCTCCCTCCCTTCACCCCTGCCTGAGTATGAGGCTTCTTCCATCTTCACACCAGTCTCCTCCTTTAGGGTGTCAGCTCTCCAAGGACCAAGAAGCCCACTGCCCTTGATATTTGCATCAGATCCCACACTGTGGGTTTGTTGACTTCCCATCTACCCTTACGCTGGGTGTCAGCAGTTGGAGAACAAGGGTTTCGCCTTCTGGCCCCGCTGCTGGTACCCCATGAGAGTAGGAAGCTTCCTAGACCCGGGTTCCTGTACTGCGAGGTGGGGGCTCTTCCCTCTGGGGCTGTGCCTTCTCTCCAGGGTAAGGACCCTTTCTTGGTGTCACCTCCCCCAGGGATAAGGTTCTTGCCATCCTTGGTATTGGTATGGCTGCTTTTCTGGATTTGAGGTGTCCACGCCTCTGCATGTGTCCCCACCGTAAGGCTGAGGACCCCTCTCGGATGCAGGTGCCCCCGGCTCATGCTTCCAAAACCCCCTCTTGATTTGTCACTGTATGGGGTAAGGCATAGTTTCCTGGCTGTGTGGATGTAAGATACCTGAGTCTCAAGCGGGAGACTCCACTGTAGACCCTGTCCCTGGGACCAGAGACTTCTCTGGTGTAGACTTTCCAAGGTGGGAGATTCCAGCCCCCCACCCTTGGCATGGGGCATCTCAGTGGAGATGACTACCTCTACCCCAGGCCCTAACGCATCCTTCTTCTGGAGTCTCAGAGCCTCTGTGTGGCCACGTCAGCAGCCACCTGGGTTAAGGATCACCCTTCAACATCACTTCTCAGAGCTCCTTGCTGCAGAGGCGGAAGCTCTCCCAGATCAAAGGTGCCTCATGACAAAGACCACTCTGTGGGCACATGACGGCCCCCAAGGTTAAGGACCACCCGGTGTTAGTTTCCCAGGGCTGACCTCCTGCCCCTCCCTCCTCGAGTCTTTGTGTGGTGGTATCATCTTCCCTGAGATGAAGTCTGGGGGGCTCTTCTTTACTGGTTTTGGCTCTGATTTTAGCGTGTTGGCTCCTGTGAGGCTGGTGTCCTGCTCACCTCCCCCCGCCCCGCCACCCGCCTTGTGGGTCCCTTCCCTGTGGGGATGTGTGTTCCTCTTGGGTAAGTCTCCTCCTGGGCCGAGGTTCCCAGATTCCTCAGTGCTCTTGGAGAGCCTTTGCTGCTGGAGCACAGGTTCTTCACGCCTGAGAGTGGACCTGCGATCACCACCTTCCTTGGAGGATCTTGGTGGATGCCCCCCTGACTACAGCAAATGGGGCTCTTTCTTCTCTGGCGGCGTCTCTGCTTCGAGACTCAGGCTCCAGCTTCCCTTCTCTCTGGTCCTTTGCTGGGGGGACCAGAGGTACAGATACCCTCATGATATAAGGATTTTCTTAGCGGGGAAGGTGTTGTCTCTACTGTGGCTAAGGCTCCAGCCTCTCTAGGGGACAAGTACCCTGGGCCTCTGGCACTTGCCCCTTCTCTGTGGAGGAGCTGCCTCCTCACTGGGTCTCAGCTGTAGCCGACTTCGATGTCACACTGTTCTGTCTGAAACATCACCTCCCTGGGTTAGCGCTCTTGTTCCCCTCCTTCTGGCTTGTGACCCCTCCAGGACTTCCTTCTCTTGCTGCCACAGTGTGGTCTCCTCTCTGTGGGTATTCTTCCTCTGCACTAGGATACCAGTCCTTTCCGTGTGGAGACACAGGGAGGGCGTCACCTGCCTAAGGTGTTGATTGCCTTGTTTAGGGGTGTAGACCATGAGACCTCTTCTCTCTCTGGGCTGGAGCACCTGCCCATGACCCTCTGTTGGGTTCTTGGGATGGAAAGAGGGAGTGTAAACTCTCGTTTCACATTCTTGTTCCCCCTATGCAGTAAGAGGCTTTTCTGTGTTGGGGTGTTGGACTTTGGTGAGGATCCCTGCACACCTGAGCTCTGGTGTCCAGGCCCTTGCCTTGTGTGAGCTCCCTGGGTCAAAGGGGCTTTCCCCTCCTCAGCCTGAATCCCCACTGTGGCACCTTCTCCTGGGTCCTTTTGTTGGTTGCTTTGCCTTCTTAGAGATTCCCCAGGTAGGGCGTGATAGCTGACCTGGGCGGGGGCTGCTGCGGCTTTCTTTAGGTTGGGCCTTTTACTGAGGAGATTTAAATTCCCTCAAGTGTAAGGTAGCACCCCTACCTATTATCACCCAGAATGGGTCCCTGCGGTGTTGGGAAAATTCTCCCTGGGGGTAAGGTACCAGCCCTGTCCTTTATGGGCTTCTTGTTCTAAAGCATATCCGTCCCATATGGTTGCTGCTAGTCACATGTGGTGATTAGTAACTAGTTAAAAATGAAAAATTCAGTTCCTCCATTACACTTGCCACATTTCAGATGTTCAGTGGCCAACAGATATGCGCAAATAGAGTGTTTCCAGCATTGCAAAGTTCTGTTGGATAGCACTGTTTGCCAGATGTTCCCTTCTTTGTGGGTGAGGACTCTTTTGGTGTGACTTCCCTCTGTATTGAGGCTCTTGTTCCTCAGTATGGGGCTGTTTCTGTCTTTACAGTAAGTGACTACTCCAGGGTTCCCTGCCCTGCACACGTAGAGTGGGAGCGGCCCGTGGATCCCAGGGAACTGTGCTTTTCATTGTAGGCCCCCTCCCTGGAGGGGAAGAGGGCAATCTCCGCTGGTATCTCAGAAGTCTTCTTCTGAGGCATAAGCCTCTCTTCCCAGGGCTCCCCTGGTCTCGCTGTCAGGCCCTAAGGTATGTCTTCCCTTGGACTAAAGCTCCTTGGAACTCCCTTTTGACCTCAGTCTTCTCTGGGTTCCAGGTAACTTCCTTTAAAATAAAGACGCTCCTCTCTTGAAGTTTTGGGTTCCTGCCCTGATGGTCTATGTCTCCCTGACTCTAAATTACCAATCCACTTGCTATGGGATTCCTCCATGAGTGCAGATCGGCTCCCTCACAGCTGCGGTACCTTTGCACCCTCTTATCTTAGTAAGATTTCTGTCTTCTCCCAGGTCTCTCTTGGGTACTGCCTTCTGCCCCCAAATCTCTAAGCCTTCTTGGTATTAGCTTCTTTGGGTTAGGAGTGTTATTTCCTTTTGGTTTAAGGATCCTGCTCTGGAATAAATGTCTTGGTGGTTTGAGTCCCTTCTACTTGGCATTCAGCCCTGTCTGCATGAGCGGGTTCAGCTCTTCACAGCTTTCGGCATCTCTGCTCGCCGTCGTTTTCCCCCACCCCCAATCTTTCTTCTCCTACCTACAGCTTACACACACACACACACACACACACACACACACACACACGCCCTTCTCTGTGAGCTGCCAGTTTCATTTGTCTCCTGACTTGTCTGAGGGATGACCTCTCCTAGCCACCTCTGCCCAGCCCCTCTGAGTAGGAAGTGTGATTTCCAGGGCTAATGCCTCCATCCCAGTCATCAGCTGTGTGCAGCATGACTGTCCTGCTCTGAAAAACCTTTTTGAGTGTATTCTGGGGAGAAGGTACTCCATGCTCTAGGAATTTTCCACTTCCTGAGTCAGAGGCACACAAAAAAGTATGTAACTTTTCTTGTTTCAACAAACTTATGGGGTCCCCTGTTGGCCAGACACTATGCTGGGCAGTCAAGCGAGCATCAGGAGAACTGGGGCTGGTCTCTTGTCAGATAGCAAATGCTTCTTCTCTTTACCAGTCCCACCTACCTCACTATGCTGACTAGGTCCATGTCTCTGGGTTTTTACCAGCCAGGGAATACGTGTTAATTCCTCTCCAATCTCTCCTAGCAGCGTCCGTCTCCAAGAGAGTATGAAGAGAGTGCGTCTGTAGGGCAGGGAAGATGGCGGACAAGCGCAAACTCCAAGGTACTAGACTGACTTCCTGCTGCACCTGTAGCCACATGCTCCCTCTTCTGAGGACTGCTCTTTAGATACCTGCCACCTGGGCAGGATTCTCACAGCCTTGTTCCTCCCTGGCCAGGTGAGATTGATCGCTGCCTCAAGAAGGTGTCCGAGGGCGTGGAGCAGTTTGAAGATATTTGGCAGAAGGTACAGGGGCTGAGACCCTAATAATCTGGGTCTTCAGAGAGGAGGGCACAGGAAGGCGGCTCAGGACCTCTGGGTGTTGACCAGCGGGAGGGGCTACATATGCAGATGCTGAGGACCTAAGAGAATCAGCTCTAAGATGGATTGGGGGTAGGGGTTGGGGGGGGTCCTCGAGTCCCTAGCATAAGGAAGAATCACTGGAGTGGGTACTGGGACATCCCCTCCCACACTGACTTCTCAATTCTCTCCATCCCTCAGCTCCACAATGCAGCCAACGCGAACCAGAAAGAAAAGTATGAGGCTGACCTAAAGAAGGAGATTAAGAAGCTACAAGTGAGGGGGCTGGGGGCCTGGACGCCTTTGTCCTGAGGGTAGAGGGAACTGGGAGAGTGGACTGCTGGGTCCCAGGGAGAAGGAGCTGTGGGCCCCAGTTCCTGGGTCCTGAGGTCTGACTTTCTTGCTTTTCCCATCTGCAGCGGCTGAGGGACCAAATCAAGACATGGGTAGCGTCCAACGAGATCAAGGACAAGAGGCAGCTTATAGACAACCGCAAGCTCATTGAGACGGTAGGAGCCCAGAGCCTGAGTCCCAGAGAGGTGGGAAGGTCACCAGATTCTTGAGATCCCAAGGGGCGGAGGCAGAGCGGCCAGACCCCAGAGGTCCTCAAGAGAAGTAAGGTTTCTGCACCTAAGGGAAGTGAAGAGGCAGCGGACTCAGAGCTCAGAAAGTAGGGTCACGAGGCTCAGGTCGGAGTGTCTGCTGGCCCTTAGTCAGCTCCTTTCCCACCTTTGAGAGCCCCCCTGCCAACTGCACTCTCTACAGCAAATGGAACGGTTCAAAGTTGTGGAACGAGAGACCAAAACCAAAGCTTACAGCAAAGAGGGCCTGGGCCTGGCCCAGAAGGTAGATCCTGCCCAGAAGGAGAAGGAAGAGGTTGGCCAGTGGCTCACGGTGAGTTGGGGTAGAGAAGAGGAGGTGAACTCTGAGGATCCTGAGCCCTGGGTGTAGGCGGAACCCTAGCTGATGGGCTTCCTCTTCCTCTCCCTCCCCTAGAATACCATCGACACGCTCAACATGCAGGTGGACCAGTTTGAGAGTGAAGTGGAGTCACTGTCAGTGCAGACACGCAAGAAGAAGGGCGACAAGGATGTGAGTGAGGGAGACCCGACACCTTTGGGATGGGGATGGGCATGGGAATGGGCTGGCCAGCAGGAGGCCAGTCATTTATGCTCCTGGGAGTTGGGGCCTGGATTCCTCAGGCGGACAGGGCCAACAGCCGGGATTAGGGATTTGAGAGACAGGATTGGGAGGGCTTAGCAGCTGCACGCGTGGGGCAGGAAGGAGGTCAGACAGAATCTCAGGGTCCCCTGGGTGTCTGGGTAGACCGTGGGGCCTTTGTGAAGAGGAGCGACTTGGGGGAAGGTGAGTGCAGGTTGAGCTTGGGCCACAGAGTAAAAGTGAGACCTGAAGGACACCCATGGCAAGAGGCCTCCTGGCACCCAGAGGGCCCTGGTCCTAGGGAGAGCACAGTGGGTAGAGACAAGGCAGAACATGGAGAAGGCAGAGAACCAGGCCTGAAGGAAGACAGGAGTCTGGGACAAAGCTGGATGTTGGGGTCCCAGGTTCTAAAATCCGGGATTGTGGGGTATGAGTTCAAAGGGATACAAACTGTACAGACTTGCTGAAACCAGAAAGACAGGGAGGGGAGAGCCGGGTCCTCAGGGAAGCTGTGGGTGGGAGAGGGTCAGGAAGTGGAAGATGACAGGGTTGGGTGTCAGACTCTGAGGGGTTTGGGAACCAGGGGCTTTCGGGGAGATGATGGGTCCTTGAACAGAGCAGAGATTTGGAACCAAGGCTAAGATGTTAAATCCTAAAGGGGCCTTGAGGGGAGGGCAGGAGCGAGGCTTAGGAATCTGGGCTCTCTCAGGGATAAATGGGTAGGGTTGGGGGCCTAGTGATGACAGATATCACAATTCTAAACAGCAAGCTCCTCACAAATGGGGGTTATCATTGTTACTGCTGGAGCAGGTCGGAGGGTATCTGTATGCCAGAGGCAGTCACAGTGGTGGGCGGGCTCAGTTGAGAAATCTGGGCTGTCAGGTGAGGTGCAGATGGAGGCCAAGTCGTGGGATGGCACAAGGACCTCTGGGTCTTTTAGAGGTTTCCAAGGACTCCTGGAGCCAGAAAGGTGTGGGGAGAGGAGGGAGCAGTGGGATCCCAAGATGTCAAGGCTAAGATTGGTCCCCACAGGGCTCAGAGGGTGGGTGGACCCCATACTGCCCCACCCCGAAGGGGATGGCGTGGAGGCTTTGGGTCTCCACAGGGGTCAGGGACTGAGGACAGGTTCTGTGGGGGCAGGAGGGGCCAAGCAGGTGCTCTGCAGCCCCTGAGCCTGGCCCTGGGCTCGCCAGCAGAAGCAGGACCGGATTGAGGGCTTGAAGCGGCACATCGAGAAGCACCGCTACCACGTGCGCATGCTAGAGACCATCCTGCGCATGCTGGACAATGACTCCATCCTCGTTGACGCCATCCGCAAGATCAAGGACGACGTTGAGTACTATGTTGACTCATCCCAGGACCCCGACTTCGAGGAGAACGAGTTTCTCTACGATGACCTGGACCTCGAGGACATTCGTGAGGCCCTGGGGCTGATCGTGGCACAGGAAGTGAGGGCCCAGAATGGGCTGTGTGAGCCAGCTAAGCATGCCCTTCTTCTGCCCCCACAGCACAGGCGCTGGTCGCCACCTCCCCTCCCAGCCACAGCCACATGGAGGATGAGATCTTCAACCAGTCCAGCAGCACGCCCACCTCAACCACCTCCAGCTCTCCCATCCCGCCCAGCCCAGCCAACTGTACCACGGTGAGGCCCCACGGGACACTAGTACCTTGTGTTTCCAGCAGGGCAGGACTCGAGGAGACAAATCTGGGTCACTCCAAAGTGGCTATGGGAGCGTAATTGAGGAAACACAGATCTAGGTATCCAGGGTCTAGGCTCTTGGAGCACACGCTAAGGTCCTATATCTGGGTCCCTAAAGGACATAAAGAGCAATAGGGTGCATCCCGCGCCAGTTTAGGTCCTGGATCTGGGAAGTGGGAGGGGCCGGTGCCTGGGCTGCCTGAGGAGGCTGGGTAGCTGGCCACCTTGGGCAGGGATCCAAGGGTTGGCTTCCCTGTGGAGAGCAGGTTCCCAGATCCTTAAGAGGCTGGTGGGTCAGTGCTGGCTCCCAGAAAACAAGAAGACTGGAGAGCCTGAATTGAGATGGTTTCTCCAGGCAGATTAAGGACAGCCATTTGACCAGCTCTGGGGCCGCAATGGCAGTCAATTGGGCCCAGGTCCCCGGGGCATTCAGAGATTGGCGGTTCTCCATCAGAGCCCCAGAGGTCACACAGGTTTCTATTCTGCCTCCCCTACCTCAGGAAAACTCTGAAGATGATAAGAAGAGGGGACGTTCCACAGACAGTGAAGTCAGCCAGGTGGGTGTGAGCCTGGACCGGGTGGGCACGCCATTCACTCCTCTGTTGCTTCCCAAAGGCATCTTGAGGCCTGAGCGCCGGCCACTGTGCTGGGCTGGTGGACACAGGTGGCTCAGAAATCAGTGCTGCCCTGAGGGCAGGTGGGCAGGGCAAGTGGACAGGTGACTGGTGCTGTGGTCAAGGGGGTAGCACACAGGTCACCCTTGGCCTGGCCAGGCAGTCAGGAGATGCTGCTGTGGAGTGCCCTGGGCTTCACAGTCAGGTGAGTTTGCCTGGCAGGGAGAGGTGGCAGCCAGTAACATGGGCAAGTTGTGACAGAAAGTTTGGAAGTGAGGAGAGATGAGTCTGGCCAGGTCTGCAGGGCCAGGGCCCAACTGTGAGCACAGGGACTGGGACTGTCAGGCTGAGGGGCTCAGGCTTTGTGGACCTGAGTGGCCTCCAGAGTCCAATAAGCCTAGGAAGCGATGGGGCCTTTGCTGTGCTGATAATACACACTGCAAATTTCTGAGAGGAGACGGTGGCGGGCAGTGCTTCTTCAACTCCTTTAACATCTCCCAGGACAGGAGCACGCTTTCGGAAACGCTGCTACAGAACAATGTTAGGCAGGAGCAGCATGGGCCTGAGGCCCCTCTGTGGGCTAACGGGATGGATGGTTCCAAGGGGACACCCTGAGTGGGCATTGAGGAGGCTGGTGTGGAGACTAAGGGGACCCGCAGGTAGTAGTGAGGGCGGGCAACAGGGCCAGGAGGTGATGAGGAGAGACACTGAGGCAGGTACTCCAGGGGCCAGGCTGGGCTCTGCCACCTTCCCAGGCCCCCACTGCCAAGCAGCGATGCCCAGGAGAGAAGTGGGTAGTCAGTCCTGTTGGGCGCTTGGTAAGCGCAAGGTGCCTGTGGGGTGGCTGGAAAGAAGCCCAGGAGGTGGTTAGGCTCAGCAGCCGGAGTGCTGTCCACAGATTGCCTGCGGTAGGGATACCATGAGCACATTTACCCTCCCACCACTTTCTGGAGTGCTGGTAACTTCCAGCCCTGTGAGTAGCTTCTGTGACCCTTCAGGTGACATTCAGAATTACTATCCAATTTCCAGCTGTTTTTCCTTCTACTCTTGGACATTAGGCGGCTCCAGCTAATCTCATATTGAGAACACTTAAGTGTTTCCCACTAGTCCTCTGGCTTCCAACAGATGGATCTTCTCTGGCTGACAACCTAAGTTGTGTGTCAGATCCCTGTGGGGGTGTCCATGGGGCGGTGTCCAGGCAGGACTTGGGAAGCTGGGCAGGCTGGAAATCAGTGTGAGTGTTTTAAGCATGAAGGTGATTGAAGCCATGAGGGTGAGTAAGGTCACCCAGGTCCCCAAGAGGGCAGGAGCAGGTGGGGGCAGCGAGGCCAGAGAGGAGGCTGCTGGGACAAAGATGGAGCCTGAGGTGGGGGTGGTGAGGGAGACCAGCTGGCCCACTGGGTCCTGACCCTCTGCTCTCTCCCACCCGCAGTCTCCAGCCAAAAACGGCTCCAAGCCTGTCCACAGCAACCAGCACCCTCAGTCCCCAGCTGTGCCGCCCACCTACCCCTCCGGCCCCCCGCCTGCTGCCTCTGCCTTGAGCACCACTCCTGGCAACAATGGGGTCCCCGCCCCCGCAGCACCCCCAAGTGCCCTGGGCCCCAAGGCCAGTCCAGCTCCCAGCCACAACTCGGGCACCCCTGCTCCCTATGCCCAGGCTGTGGCCCCACCAGCTCCCAGTGGGCCCAGCACGACCCAGCCCCGGCCCCCCAGCGTCCAGCCTAGCGGAGGCGGAGGCGGCGGCAGCGGAGGTGGAGGGAGCAGCAGCAGTAGTAACAGCAGTGCCGGTGGAGGGGCTGGCAAGCAGAATGGCGCCACCAGTGAGTGAGGAGGCAGCGGGGTGGGGGGCGTGGGCGGGGCTGGGCAGCAGGCAGCAGCCCTTTCCATTTACTCTTTGTTCCCAGGTTACAGCTCAGTTGTGGCAGACAGCCCGGCAGAGGTGGCTTTGAGCAGCAGTGGGGGCAACAATGCCAGCAGCCAGGCCTTGGGCCCCCCTTCCGGCCCCCACAACCCACCTCCCAGCACCTCGTGAGTGTCTCGGCCATCGGCAGGGTTGGGATGGCAGCCTTTTGAAACAGAGAGGCGCAGGCGCCTCACCCCCGCATCGGTGGGTTCTGAACCCCCCGCCCTTGCTGCTGGGAATGGCCAAGCGCTATCCTCCATCTCCCTCGGGTGTTACACCCCCACTTCTTTCCAGCAAGGAAACTACATCAGCCTCCCTGCTTTGCCCTTCAGAACATTCTAAAATACGTTCTCATCTAAGTGGAAGTTTTCTCAAGAGCCCCATACCCTTTCCTCCCCATTTCTGTTACCTGCCTGAGGCCAATTGACTGCCACCGGAGGGTCACTGTTTCACTTTTCAAAGTGAATTGTCCCGAAGTCCTTATTCCTCTGCAGCCACTCCTTCAAATCTTAGCTCAGACCATTCCACTGGGTCTGCCTGTTTCCCGAAGAATGCCCTAAGAAAGATCAGTGTGCACAAAGGAAAGGCCTGCTTCCTGCCCCCTCACCCCAGCTCCAGCTGGCCTGCCCAAGGGGGAGTGGGCCCTGTGAACACCTGCCCAGGGCAAGTGGTTTTGATCAGCCTGTGGCCTGGTGGAGCACCCGAGAATCCTCACCCCCACCCCCACAGCTCTGCTCTGCTGATGAGAAACCATTCCAAAGATTGGGCTCTGCCTTTGTTTGCCCAGAGAACCACTTCTTTCTCCCATCTGTCTGCCCTCACCTGCCCCTCTCAGATCCCATCTGATCTGTGCAGTCTCCCCTCTCTCCAGCCAGGCCTCTCTGCCCATCCCACCCTCAGGGACCCTCCTCTCAACCCCCTCTTCCATGCTCTCTCTCCAGGAAGGAACCCAGTGCGGCAGCCCCAACGGGGGCTGGGGGCGTGGCCCCAGGCTCAGGGAACAACTCAGGGGGACCCAGCCTCCTGGTGCCACTGCCTGTGAATCCTCCCAGCTCCCCAACGCCCAGCTTCAGTGATGCCAAGGCAGCCGGTGCCCTGCTCAATGGGCCTCCACAGTTCAGCACCGCCCCAGAAATCAAGGTGGGCTCCTCGGACATCCCCCGAGCCTCTGTGTCCTGACTCTGTTGTTTCTTTCCTCCAGGTCTCTAGCTGCACCCCCTGCCCCCACCCTCTTTCTGGATCTCTTTCTCTGGCTTTCTGTCCCCTTCTCACACTTGCTCTTTCTCCAGGTCTTTCTGTACCACCCTCCCCGTGACCTTGATCTCTGGGGGCTCTCATACCTCCTCTCTTGTTCCCTCCAAAGCTCTGTTTCTCTGGGTCTCTTTTCCTTTCTCTTGGTTGCACTTGTTGCTTGCTCTCTCTGGGTCTCCATCTTCATCCCCCCCGCAGGCCCTCAGTTTCTGTCCCCGTTTGTCCTCACAAGGCATAGACTGGTGTACTTTCTGCACAAGTAGAAAGACTGGTTGGGTGAATGCAGCCTGGTTCCACCCTTTAGGAAGCTTCCCTGCTGGGGCAGCTGCAGGGAAGGTTGCGGTGGGCCCACCGAGGGGCATCTGACCTGACCTGGGAGACAGGCCCAGGAAGGTCTGAGAGGGGGTGATGTTTAAGCTGAGACCTGGACCAGGCAGGGGGGCTAACAGCTGCAGGAAGGGCTTCAGGAGGTGCTTTAGGAGGAGCATGCATCTGCCTGTGTGCTTAGGAAGCTGGGCAGGATGCAGCAGAGAGGAGAGAGGTGTCCACTCTGCAGGAGACAGTGCCACCAGCTGCAGGGCTGAGATAGTGGGTGTAGCAGGATAGGACGGTGGGGTCCTGATCATCGAGGGTCAGGAGCTGGGGCTTGGCTTGTGAGCCAGTATACTGTAGCGCAGCTTCCATGGGGGGACCAGTGTGTATGCCCAGGCTGTCCAGGAGGCAGTGTGCGCGCCCAGGCTGTCCAGGAGGCAGTGTGCGCGCCCAGGCTGTCCAGGTCCAAGTCTTGGCATTGTCCTTTCTGTGCCTTCATCTGGGAAACGGCAATAGTCACGATTATACCTACTATGTAGGGTTATTTGGAAGACTAAATCATCCTCATAAAGCTCTTGGAACAGTTTCTGGCCCAACAGAAGCATTAATTTTTTTTTTTTTTCTTTTTTGAGACAGAGTCTTGCTCTGTCACCCAGGCTGGAGTGCAGTGGTGCAATCTCAGCTGAATGCAACATCCGCCTCCTGGGTTCAAGCGATTCTCCTGCCGCAGCCTACTGAGTAGCTGGGATTACAGGCGCCTGCCACCACGCCAGGCTAATTTTTATATTTTTAATAGAGATGGGGTTTTGCCATGTTGGTCAGGCAGGTCTTGAACTCCGAACCTCAGGTGATCCACCCACCTCGACCTCCCAAAGTGCTGGGATTACAGGTGTGAGCCACCGTGCCCGGCCCAAATTTTAGAAGTAGGTGGACAGGATATTTATAGTGCGTGCATTTTTCTGGAAAAAGGGAAACAGCAGCTTTGAGATTTTCAGAAGGGGTCCATATCTTTTAACACCACCAACAACAAAAATGAATCGCTGGGGTGGGTGGTCGGGAACCATGGCAAGGTTTGGAGTAGAGAAGGAACAACATGACTTCATTGGAAAGGTCCCCTGGGGCTGGTGAGGACAGGATAGAGGGAGGGTGGTCTGGGCAGGAGAGGACAGGCCTGGGCTGTGTGGGACATGGTGGCACGACAGGGAAGGGAGCCATCCAGTGGGGTTTAGAAGCAGGACGGATAGCTGGGCGTGGTGGCTCACACCTGTAATCCCAGCTCTTAGGGAGGCAGAGGCGGGAGGATAGCTTGAGCCCAGGAGTTTGAGACCTGCCTGGGCGATATAGCGAGACAGAATGGATAAGCCTTGGCGACTGACTCGTTGTGGAGAGTCCAGCACAGGGCTGGGGTTTGGGACAGCTGCACGTGGCTGGAGGAGATGGGAGGAACCAGCCCTGACTTTGGGGAACAGAAGCCTGCTGTAACCTTTGTAATAGGAAACGAGGCTGTGGCTGCGGGGCTGGAGACCCAACCTACCTGTTTCCAGCAAGGAGACTGAAGCCTAGCCGGGCTGGGCCCACCCCGATTCCAGTCACCCCATGCCAGTCACAGGCAGACAGCTGAGCATGTAGACCTCCTGCCTCCTTCAAGACAGGCGGGAGCTCTCCCAGCGTGTAGGTGTCCCTAGTGAAGGAGCGTGTACTATTGGCACATCCTTTGACAAAAATGGTAGCGCACTGTACATATTCTGCAGGTTGGCGTTTACTTCTGTAGTATGTCACGAACTTGTATTTTGAAAATCTCGGCGTAGTATTCCATGCTGCAGAGTCCCACTCACGAGACGTTCCTCTGCTGATGAATGCGTCGTGGTCTCCGATTGTTTCCCTACAGTTTGATGCTTTTACCTGTCATGGGTAGATTGTGGGGAGTGGGTCGTTGGCCCTCCACGGCCCCCAAACAGGGCAGGTGAGAGCATCTGGGGCCTGTGTCAGGCTGCACTTGCTCCTGCAGCCCAAGTGCTCAGGCCAGGCCTCTTGTTTCCTCCCCAGGCCCCTGAGCCTCTGAGCTCCTTGAAGTCCATGGCGGAACGGGCAGCCATCAGCTCTGGCATTGAGGACCCTGTGCCAACGCTGCACCTGACCGAGCGAGGTGAGGGACCCAGGATGGTGGGGAAGCAGCGGGCCAAAGAGGAGGGGCTGCCCCTGACCCATCCTCACCACTGAGGGGGCCGGACCCCCACCCTCCCCACAGACATCATCCTGAGCAGTACATCAGCACCTCCGGCCTCAGCCCAGCCGCCCCTGCAGCTGTCAGAGGTGAACATACCGCTGTCGCTGGGTGTCTGTCCACTGGGCCCTGTGCCCCTCACCAAGGAGCAGCTCTATCAGCAGGCCATGGAAGAGGCCGCCTGGCACCACATGCCTCACCCCTCTGACTCTGAGCGTATTCGGTGAGGGGCCACAGGGAAGGGGGATGGTCTGGGACTTGAGTCTTACGGAGGAGGCAGTGGCTGAACCTGTGAGGCTGTGGGTAGAGCACCAGGCCCCTGACTTGGGCTCTCCACTGAAGGTCAGCACCGCCCTGGGTCTTTCTGTACCACCTCCCCCCGCAGGGATGCATGTCTGAGCACCCTTTTGATCACGACAGGACTAGTAGGCAGCTGGCACTGACCTTCCTGTTGCTCTCACAGGCAGTACCTCCCCCGGAACCCCTGTCCGACGCCCCCCTACCACCACCAGATGCCACCCCCACACTCGGACACTGTGGAATTCTACCAGCGCCTGTCGACCGAGACACTCTTCTTCATCTTCTACTATCTGGAGGTACAGCAGGGCCCCCGGGGCAGCCTCGGGCCCCCCGGCTTCGCCGCCACCGCCGCCGTCCCCCCTCGGGCTGGAGGGGTGAGGTGGGTGCCCCACTGCGGCCACTGGGACCGCACCCCCTCCCTATTCCCACTCCTGGGCCCCTGCCCCAAATCCACCTGTCCCCGTCCCCGCCTTCCAGCCCAGAGATGTTAGAACTGCTTGGGTTGACAGCGAGGCTGGTCCACTGAGGCACACCTCAGCCCCGCTTCCAGTTGCCCACTGGCTCACCCGCGGCCCCTCCCCAGCCCTGCTCCAGCAGCCCCAGTCTAGGCCGACCCCACTCTGCTCATCGGCACATTCTCAGGCCTCCCTGGAGACCACTGGGGAGCTGTCCAGCCCCCTCCCAACCCCAGTGAGTCATGAGTGACCTCCACCCTCATCCCCACTTGGGAAATTTTCTAAATTGCCTCCTCTCTCAGCTCTCATCACACATTAGTTTTTCTTCCTTCTCAAAGCTTCTCTGAAAGCAATTTTCACCTCCTGTCTCATTTTCCTTCTCCTGATCAGCATTGGTATGTTCTGTGCCCCCAGCCCCATCTCCAAGAGGATTGTCCAGCCCAACTGTGGTCTGTGGCGGGGGCCGGGGTTCAGCCCTGATGTCCTGCCCCATTCCCCTGGCTCCCCACCCAGTTTGGGGGCCCCCTGATCCCCCTCTCCACTGTTCCTCCCCCAGGGCACTAAGGCACAGTATCTGGCAGCCAAGGCCCTAAAGAAGCAGTCATGGCGATTCCACACCAAGTACATGATGTGGTTCCAGAGGCACGAGGAGCCCAAGACCATCACTGACGAGTTTGAGCAGGTGAGGGCCCCGCCCCCTCTCTTCCCGCTGCTAGGGTTGGGGTAGAGTCCCCAGGCTCCAGGCAGCCCCTGCTGGCCTCTGCTCCCTTGCCTCCACCTTTCAGCTGGCGCAGTCCCTCAGCCTGACCAAGTACTCCTCCCTCTGGCTGTCTGCTCAGCCTGGAACACCGCCCTCTCATCCTCCACTTGGCCAGCTCCTAGGCCTCCTGTAGGTCTCAGCCCAAATGTCCCTTCCTCAAAGAAACCTTCCTGGAGCCACCCAGCCCAGTGCCTCCCCTTTGCAGTGCTGGGCACACTCGCTTGGGGTGTGGGATTTTCCCAGTATGTGTCCCTGCACCAGGCTGTGGGCTCTGCTGCCGAGGGACCTTGATGGCCCCCACTTCACCTCCAGGTCCCAGCACTCAGCAGGGCAGGGGCTCAGTGCCGAAACTATTTTTTTTGAATGGGCTTCTCAAGTTCTAATACTGGGAAATTCCTGCTGCTTGCAAACACTCTGGAACCAACCTACCTGGGTTTCAGCCCAGTCCAGCTGGGCGACTCTAGGCAAGTCACTCGAACCTCTGTGTCTCAATTAACTTATCTGTAAAAATGGGGGGAAGACCACCTACCTAATGCAGTTGTTATGAAGATTAAATGAGTTAATAACATGTAAGTACTTAATGGTGACTGCTACATAGTCAGTGTCATGGATTTTTTTTTTCAAATTACTTTCAGTTGGTGTGTTCTACAGTGATGTTTTTTTCCACCAAATACTTCCCTGATGCCGAGCCCCTTCATGGGGATGAAGTAGTACAAGGTCCTTGTCCTCAGAGAACTCAGTCCCCTCTCCTGGTTCTCCCAGGTTGCCATCTTTGAAGCACTTAAGACATTCATTTAGAACCTAGGTCCTCTCCCATTGTGTCCTCAGATGTTAACCACAGACTTCCTGTCCTTTCCTGGTTTGGCCCAAAACCATCCTCCAAGTTAGTACATTTCAGGGCATCCAGTCATTCAGAAATTCCCACACCACTTCCGTCACCAATAAAATGTCCCTGCAGAGTGCTTGGATTTAGACTCTGAGACTGTTCCATTCTCTAGAACAAGGGTGACAGTACCCACTGCCTCGAGGTCTTTGTGAAGATTAAATGCTAGGCTGTGCATCCTGTACTCACGTGAGAGGTGCTCAAAAGCCACAGCCCTCGAGGAAACGAAGGCTGTGCACTCACACCTGGGGCTGGGGCCCCGTTCTGGCAGCTGGCTTCGGTGGAACCTCTGCGGCCCCCTCCGTTTCCTCCTCGCTGAAGTGGCATGATAACATTTCCTACCCAAGAAGAACCTTGTGAGGATGGATGAGAGTGTGTGCGTGCAGGGCAGCTGGCCCGGTGCCTGACACATCCACAGCCCTAAGAATTGTCCCCTTTGTCTGTTGGTCCGGCCCAGATCCCAGACCACCTCCTCGTCCACTCACTGACCGCCTTCTCCCCCGGCCAGGGCACCTACATCTACTTTGACTACGAGAAGTGGGGCCAGCGGAAGAAGGAAGGCTTCACCTTTGAGTACCGCTACCTGGAGGACCGGGACCTCCAGTGACACCGGCCCCTCCCTCTACCCACCCCCTTCCCCCGCATGCTGATCCCCCTGCCCAGGTGAGGGCCCTGCCCTGGAAGACTGGAGGGAGGCCCCAAGCCACGGGGCATCCCCCTCTCCCAGGAAGCAGGGAGGGGGCCGGGAGGTTTTCCTCTCAGCCCCACCCTGGGGGCCCGGGGGCGAGGGCTGCCCCCTCCTCCCCTCCCCAGTGAGGGACATTTTTTGGTAAACCTATTTTCATTTTGGAAAATATTTATGAATAAATAGTTTTATATGACGGCTGGCAGCAGCGGCCTCTCCTGTACCCCCTCAGGAGTCAGTGAGTAAGGTGAGGGTCCTGCTGGCGGGGGCGCCGGGCCAGCTGGGGGTTGAATTGGGAGTTGTACCGCCGCCGCCGGTCATCCGTCTCGTCTTCTTCCGGCTGACCCTCCTGTAGTGCCCGGCCTTGGACCCGGGCCAGCAGGGCCTCTGCCCGAGACCTCTCAGCTGCTTCCCTCCGCAGACGTTCAGCTCGAAGCTGGTCCAGGGATGGAGGCCTGTGGGGAGAGGAGTGAGGTCAGAAAGCTGGTAGCCCCTAGGAGGCCATTCCCCCAACCTCTCCCATAGAGGGAGCTGCCGCCTGGAAGCCCCGCTGCATCCAGCACACCCCAGCCTCAGCTCCTTAGGCCTGCTGGAAGCAGCCACTTGGTGCTGGGACGCCATGGGCACGTCTCTGGCCTTCCCTTCTGTGGGCTTTGGTCCTCCCCAGTCTTTAAAATCTGATGCTTCTCCAGGTCAAGAAAGCACACTTAGCAGCCCCCTGGCCCTCAGTTTCCCTTTCTAGAGGAAAGAAGACTACAGGCAGTGTACCCCCTCTAGACCAGGGGTGCAGCATCCTGGAGACAGAAGCCTGCTTTTACTCTCTAACCCAGCAGCTCTCAAACTCTTTGGTCTCAGGACCCCTTTATACTCTTAAAAACCAAGGACCCCAAGAGCTTTTGTTTAAATGGGTTCTCTTAATATGCTGCAAATCATTAGTGAAAACTAAGAAAGTTTGGACACAAGCATCTGCCATTGGCCATCAGAGTGAGGGTGTCTCCCCATCACACAGCCTCTGGAAACCTGCACTACATGCCTGAGAACACGAGTGGAAAAGTCCACCAGTGTCAGGAAAATAGGCTTGACACCACAGCACCCCGGGAAAGGGTGTCAGGACCCCTAGGGCTCCCTGGACCACATGCTGAGAACCACTTCTCCACCTAGCCAGCCCTTCACGGAGTCCCTGGCTGTCCTGACCAGAGACGCTGCAGTGCCCATGCTGGGCTGCTGCCAAGCCCTGAAGGTCTGGGCCCTGGTCTGCCGAGGTGGGGTCTTCTTACTCCTTGGGTCGCTGCTTCTCAGACCCCTCCTTTTCCTTTCTGCTGCGACTGCCTTCATCACCGCCGTGCTGTCTCTTCTTCCCCAGATGCTTCTGCATCTCCCGCAGAGGGTCCAGACGGCTCTTGATCTTCTCATCTGGGGCTGGGCCGGGCGGGGGGCCCCCTCGCCCTGGGGGTAGCTGGTACCAAGGGGGTTGAGTCTGTGCCTCCGCTGCACTCTGGCCCAGGTATGTCAGGATGCCCAGAGCTTTCTCTTGCCTCTCCTGAGGGGGCCAGGAAATACAAGAGATGTGATATAATCTTTCAAGGTGTCAGGTGTGTCTCCCTGACACAGGTATCTAAGCGAACAGGTATCTAAGGCTTGTTATGAACCAGTTGGACCAGGTGCTGGGGATGGAAGACAAACAGAGGCAAAGCTCCCCCTGGGGGGACAGTAGCAGGTACAGTAACAGCAGGGGAAGGAGGGGACAAGTGGAGCCACTTGAGTGTTCAGAGGCAGGCATCTTTGCAGAGAGACTTGAAGAGAAGCCTGAAGGGATCAAGCAAAGCAGAGGAGCGATGGGTGGGGTCAGCAAGTCCAGAGACAGCAGATAAATGACAAGAGCTGATGTACCTCTTTTTTTTGAGATGGAGTCTCGCTCTGTTGCCCAGACTCGAGTGCAGTGGCACGATCTCGGCTCACTGCAACCTCTGCTTCCCAGGTTCAAGCAATCCTCCTACCTCAGCCCCCCGAGTAGCTGGGATTACAGGCACACACCACCATGCCCAGCTAATTTTTGTATTTTTAGTAGAGACGGGGTTTTGCCATGTTTGGCCAGGCTGGTCTTGAACTTCTGACCTCAGGTGATCCACCCACGTTGGCCTCCCAAAGTGCTGGGATTACAGGCGTGAGCCACCATGCACAGCCACTGATGTACCTTTTACACTTGATCTTAGCCAAAAAGCAAGAGGCGATTGATTCACTTTTTGTTTGATTGTTTTGAGATGGGGTCTCGCTCTGTCACCCAGGCTGGAGTGCAGTGGCGCAATCTCGGCTTACTGCAGCTTCCACCTCCTGGGTCAAGCGATTCTCCTGCTTCAGCTTCCCTGGGATTACAGGCGCGCACCACCATGCCCGGCTAATTTTTTTTGTATTTTTAGAGATACCATGTTGACCAGGCTGGTCTTGAACTCCTGACCTCAGGTGATCCACCCGCCTCAGCCTCCCAAGGTGGTGGGATTACAGGCGTGAGCCACAGCCGGCTGATTTAAATTTTTAAAAGCCCATCAGGTTTGAGACTCCTCCAGTTTGGAGAACTGAGCGGTTTGCCCAGCAGCTGGGGACCTCTAGCATCTACCTCCAACCCCTGTGGGCGCCCAGACGGCAATAGCCAACGCTTTTTGAGTGTCATGCCTTGGTATGGTCCTAAATTCTGTGTGTTCACTCTTGTTTGACCTTGGTCACAACCAATGGCTAAAGTGCCCCCTCCCTCCAACTCGATTCATGGCCCCTCTGATGAAGTGGGTGAGGCCAGCTTACTTTCTCCTGTCGCTTTTCTTCCTCGTACTCTTTATTGCCTCTGATCACTCCTTTCCCTTCCTCCAGCAGCTCCCGAAACAGGTCCACAGGGCCAGAACCTGGGGCTCCCGCCTCTGCTGCTTCAAGCTCAGGCAGTGAGTTCTGATGTCTGGCTTTCTTCCGTAGGAATTCTGTACGGGCCTGGGGAGAAAGTTATAGGCAGGACATTCAGAACCTAGAGGTAATTCAAGAACTGTGAGTCTGGTGCCCACCACAGAAAATGGCAGTCCAGGGTGCTGGGGTTATGAGAAAGGGAGCACTAGGCGCCTAAAAGAGGCACCTGTCCTAGCTGGGGGTGAGGGTAGGCAGATGAGGCAACGCCTGGGTTTTGTAAACTCCCTTTCAAATAGTAAACCACGGGTCATCAAGGATGTATGGGAGGAGGTCCCTGGCCTAAACCAAAGGGGTTCCTAACCTCAAGTGAGACAATTAAAACAGCCATAAAGGTATGCATTAGGCCAGACGATCTGAATTCTAGCCATGGCTCCAAGTGACTACCCCAAGTCTGCTGAAGCCCTGTCCCCTGCCTTCAGGACGCGGATTTCAAACAGCGCTCAGCAGCCTACTGAGATTCTAAAAACCTAGACTACCTCCCACCCACGGCGGAGGATCAGACTAGCTAAGGAAATGAAAGTTGGGTGTACACCAAACAGATTTAAAGAGCCATACGGAAAGCCCGTGTTTGTGTGTATGTGTCTAGGGGGCGGTGCACGAAAGGGCTCGCCCGATGGCGTGGAGCCTGGCTGTCCGCCTCTCCTTAAAATGTGCCTTCCCCTCACTGAAGCCATCTCACTTCGTGCAACAGAGATGACAGTGCCCCTCTAAGAACGAACAGTGCTTATTGGGGATTCCGCAAGTCAGGTGCACGGCATGTAGTTAGCATACAGTAGATGCTCAATAAATAGGCTGTGCAGGCAAACTAAAAAGTGATCCGAATTTCCTTGAACTGTCCAAGGGTTCACGGATTCATTAAATGTTAAGCTTCTCTTTTGTGCTAGACACTGTTCCAGCCATGTGAAATACATCAGTGGGGGAAAAACTAAGACGAGGGCGAGATCAAGGAAGGTTTCGTGGAAGTGGGCACAAGGTTTGCGGGGCAACGTCCTCGAAAGTGGGATCGGCGCCTGGTCCCGAATTTCACACGGGGCACATTGAGCCTGCGCAACGCCTCCGCTTCCGGCCCCCAACCGCGGCGCCTGCGCGCTGGGCCCCGGAGCGCCGCCCTGCCGGCTTCCGAGCTTACCTCTTGCTGAGCCAGCAGCACCCTCCGCTCACGCTCCTTCTCCTCCTCCCGGGCCTGGGCCTCGTCACGCCGCACGCGGGCGACATTGTCCTTGTTCCGGACGTGCCAGCTCTTCTTGGGCAAGATATTCATGGCGTCGTAGCTGTCCAGGGACTGGCACGCCCGCCTCTTTGCACTTCCGATTGGCGAGAGGATGCCCCCCTTTTTCTTGTCCCTACTTCGACCGCGGATTGGTTCCGAATTAGTTGGTACGGCCCCCTGGCCTGTAGCGACAGGTGATTGGCTGAGACGCCCTTTATCACAGCGAATGCTAGGCGTTCGGCTCGTGGTATCCCCTAGCAACCGCCTCTTGTCACAGATCTGAACCAATCATAAGTTGGCCCGCCCCTGATGCTACCAGATGCGGCCGTCGATTGGCCGACATGACCGACAAGTCTCCTTGCGGAAGAGCGCTCTGCACCGACAAACATGCCCGTACATTTGATTGGCTCCTGCCCCGCTGTAGCCCTGCCCCCACCTTCAGGACGCAGATTTCAAAGCGCGCTCAGCAACCTCGGCTGTATTTATTGATACAAGGAAGATCACCCGAGAGTCAGGGACGTGGCGGCGAGGGGCCCTGGAAATCTCCAGATACCAAAGCTGGAAGGGCGTGGAGTCTTCTCCAGTTCTCCTAGTTTACAGATGTTGTGACCTAGGCTTACAATGGGCCTGGGGTCTGAAAGCGGGACGTGGGCTGCGGGGGTCAAAGAGCCGGTTTGGTGGAGGTCAGCGCCACAGCGCGCCGTGCCAGGAAGACTTTATTCTGCGCCTCCTGGGGCAAAGAGAGGTGGAGGTGAGACAATCCTCTTCCCCAACCCCTTTCCATGTTCCCCAGGGGCCCTCTCAGGGACCCGCCTGGCTCACCGTCTGTCTCTGACGTTTGAGCTCAGAGATGAGGCGTCCGTAGGAGTTAGCCAGAGCCACAGTGTACGCCATCAGGATGCTGAAGGAGACAGGAACGGAAGCCACTCCTGACACGCTCTTCCATTATATCCAAACGTCTGGCTCCTTCGAAGCCAGGGATGTGGACGCCTAAGCCCCTCCTCGTCTGGGCTCAAGGAGTTCAGTCTCCCAGCCCCTCCGCCTTCAGATCCAGGAGTCCTACGTCCCGCCCACCTCCTCCTTCGGACCCAGCAGTCCAGGAGCCTAGGCCTCCTCCCTCAGACTCAGTACGTTGCCTGCTCCCACGCCCAAGCCTCTCCTCTCTTGGACGCAGGTGGTGGCCCCCAGATCACACGCATTCAAACCCAGACCCAGAAGTCTGGGCCGTCTCACCTGGAGATCAGCAGAAGGGGCACAGCAAAAGCCTGGGTCCCCAGGAAGAAGAGGAAATTCTGGGTGGTCTCAGGGAGGCTGGAAATAGACTCAGGGATCTGGGCCCAGATGGACGACTGCCCCCGGAATGGACCACAAAGCTTAGAAGGCGGGATCCTGAAGTCAAGACAGGCTGGGCTCACATAGTGCCAGGAGTCTGAACACTGAATGGGGAGAGAGGGAGGGAGAGAGGCGGGAGCCTCTCGCACTTACAGGAAGATGCTGTAAAGCAGGGGAACGCTGGAGATGGCCAGACCCAGGAGAAGGACCAAGGGGAAAAAGAAATTCGCCGCGGAGGCCCGGAAGGTGCGGGCAGCCGGGGAGCAGGTGGAGAAGAGGGTAAGCTGGTGGGGGAAGGCACGGAGAAAAGGGCTCTGAAACACAAGAGTCTGTGCCTCCATTTTTTTTTTTTTTTTTTTTGAGACAGAGTCTCGCTCTGTCGCCCAGGCTTTTTTTTTTGAGACAGAGTCTCGCTCTGTCGCCCAGGCTGGAGTGCAGTGGCTCTCACTGCAGCCTCCCCTCCCGGGTTCAAGCTATTCTCGTGTCTCAGCCTCCCGAGTAGCTGGGATTACAGGTGTGCACCACCACTCCCGGCTAATTTGTTTTGCTGTTGTTGTTGTTTGTTTGTTTTCTCTTTTTGAGACGGAGTCTCGCTCTGTCGCCCAGGCTGGAGTGCAGTGGCACGATCTTGGCTCACTTCGACCTTCACCTCCCTGGTTCAAGCAATTCCCCTGCCTCAGCCTCCTGAGTAGCTGGGATTACAGGCGCCTGCCACTAAGCCCGGCTAATTTTTTTTGTATTTTTAGTAGAGACGGGGTTTTGCCATGTTAGCCAGGCTGGTCTCAAACTCCTGACCTCAGGTGATCCACCCGCCTTAGTCTCCCGAAGTGCTGGGATTACAGGCGTGAGCCACTGCACCCGGCCTACCTGCCTCTCCTTTTTTCCGAACCAGGAGTCTGAGCCCCTTCCTCATCTAGGACCCCGGAGTCTGAGTCCCCAGATCCTCAGACATATAAGTCAGAATGCCCTAGACCCCTCCTCTCAGATGCAGTAGTCTGTCCTCCAACCCCCTCCTCTCTCAGGACCGAGTAATCCAGGCCCCCAGGATCTTCCTTGCCCTTGACCCAGGAGTGCGGGCCCCAATACCTCCTGCCTCAGACCCAAGGGTCCCCCCTACCCCTTACCTTCTTCAGGTAGAAAAGCAGCAGGAACTTGACCGTGTTAAGCAGGGGCAGTAAAGGGCAGAAAAAACTCCCCACCCAGACCACCGTCTGCGCGTAGATGAGCCCCAGCACCTCGTCGGGCACCTGGAACTCCTGGGTCCCCGCCAGACGACCCAGCGCCCCAGGACAGAGGCCACAGAGGAGCCTGAAGGACGGGGCGGGGCCGGGCCGGAGTCAGGGGAGTGGCGGCCTGGAGTTTCCCCGCCTCCACCGCCCCGCCCGCCAATAGGAAGCATGCGTATTGGTTGGGGGGGGGGGGGCGGGACTTTCAGGACTCCACGTGGAGGGGGTGTGTCCAGAGGGCGGGTCCTGAGGACTAGAAGGGACCCAGATGTCGCCGCCGTCGGGGCCAGAGGGAAGTAACCCACTAAAACAAGGGCGGGGAGCGGGGAGATCTGCGGACCTAGGGCAAGCAAAGGGAGCAGGCAGAGGCGGGAATGGTAAAAAGGTGCGCGGTGAAAAGAACAGCGCGATGGGGCACGGCCTCGTCCTAGAGGGGCGGGGCCACAGCAAGGGGCGGGGCTCTCACTTTCTAGGAAACTGGATGAGCAGCGCGACTGCCAAGACAGTCAGCAGATCAAAGAGCAGAAGTTTGTACATTTCCTGGCCCAGGACAGTCTCCCAGCACTGAAGAAGGAAGAAATATATCAGAAAGAACTCGGGACCCGGGCACCTGGAGGCCCACGCGTCCGAGTCTCCACATCGCAAGCCTATGAGACCCTGTCAATACTTTCTCTGGGGGTCCTCGTTTTTCAAACTTTCATACCCTTGGGAGAGTGTTCCAGCACCCCAAGCTCCCCTCTCCGCCCAAACCAAGAGTCTGGACCCACCCAGCTCCATCTTTCCTTCAGGGACCCAAGAGTCCCACGCACACCCATGCCGTTCTCACCGGAAGTTGTTTGTAATTGTAGCCACAGGTTTTGCAGTCCTCAGCCTCGGAGTCGCCCCCACAAGTGATCTGATTCCAGAGAGAGAAGAGCAGGACCACCAGGGAGGCGAGGCGAAGAAACACGGTCCTGAAGGGGGGAAGGCAGAGAATGGGCCCTGACCCGGTACCCACCATGTGGCAGTTCCCTTCTCAGTGGAACGCGCCCGCATTCAACCCATCTCACAGATGAAGCTGAGGCCCAGTGACAGAATCAGGATTTCTTTCTTTCTTTCTTTCTTTTTTTTTTTTTTTTTTTGAGACAGGGTCTCACTCTGTCACCCGGACTGGAGTGCAGTGGCGCGATCTCAGCTCACTGCAACCTCCACCTCCCAGGCTCGAGCCATTCTCCTGCCTCAGCCTCCCGAGTAGCTGGGACTACAGAAGCCACTACCGCCGGGCTAATATTCGTATTTTTACTACAGACGGGGTTTCATCATGTTTGTCAGGCTGGTCTCGAACTCCTGACCTCAGCCTCGGCCTCCCAAAGTGCTGGGATTACAGGTGTGAGCCACTGCACCTGGCCAACAGAGTCAGGATTTGAATCCCTGGATTCGGTATCAGCAGGATTTCCGTGTCTTACCTGTCAGCGCCAACATCCCTCTGACCGCCCCCACCCTTCATCATTCCCAGCCATCCCCGTGAGGCTGGAACCTGAGCAGGATAAAAACGATCTGGCGACTCCGAGTGTAGCCCTCCAGTGGAGCAATGAGCTTGAACACGGGCGGCAGCACAAAATTGACCCCAGCGATGAAGATGGACGGAAGGTAATTCACCCCAAGCTTCAGCAGTGGCAACTCCTGGACAAGGGGCATCTCCTGGGAGCGGGATGGACCATGAGTAGAGGCTTGGGGTCCTGGAGGAGCCAAGCTTAAGGTCCTCCCCCCGGCCTCTTCTTCTTCTTCTTCTTTTTTTTTTTTTTTTTGAGACAGAGTCTCGCTCTGTTGCCCAGCCTAGAATGCAGCGGTGCGATCTCGGCTCGCTGCAACCTCTGCCTCCCGGGTTCAAGTGATTCTCCTGCCTCAGCCTCCTGAGTAGCTGGGATTACAGGCGCCCACCACCACGCCCGTCTAATTTTTGTATTTTTAGTAGAGACTGTTTTTCACCATGTTGGTCAGGCTGGTCTGGAACTCCTGACATCGTGATCCGCCCGCCTCAGCCTCCCAAAGTGCTGGGATTACAGGTGTAAGCCACCGCGCCCAGCCTCTCTTTTTCCTTTAAAATCCCTAAGTCCAGGGTCCGAACATACCCTCTCCCATACTTCCTCTCTAAGATCTCTGGCATCCCAAACTTCCGTCCCCTCCCTCCACCGTTGGAAATGTAGGTTCCAGGACCCCCTGGCTTCCTCTTCCAAGACCGTCCGCACCTGCAGCTCCACGGTGCACCCCGTAGCCCAGTAGACGCCATAGAAGGCTGCCCCCAGGAGCGCGACCACCAGCAGGTTGAGCAGCACCCGCACCAACCAAACCCTGGCTTGCTGGCCCAGCGTCCGCACCGCAGCCTGGCGCCGCACCACTGTCTCCTCCAGCTCCACCTGAAGGCAGGAGAGATGCCCGCTTGGACTCCATTTCCCAAGGCGCGGGCCTCCCGGTTCCCCAGGTCTGGCTCTCCAGAGATCCTCCTTAACGTGAACTGATGCAGCCGTCTCCCCACCCGCTAACAACCTCTGCAGTCCTGGTTCCACCCGCTCCAGGAAACCAGCGGCCCTTTACAGCCCCGCCCCTTCGCGGCCGGATCCAGCAACCCAAGCCCCCATCCCTCCGCGGTCAATCTCAGCACCCCAGGCCCCGCCCCTGAGGCTCCGCCCAGCATCCCAAGACCCGCCCCTGGTCAGCCCTGCCCATCAGAGGCTCCGCCCCCAGGTGGCCCTGCGCTTTATTCCTGGCCTGAAGTTCCAGTTCAGCTGTATCAAGACGCCCTGCTGGCCGCTCCCATCACTTAACTTTGAACCAAATTGCCTTAGGCCCCGCCCGCTTCTTGTGCTTACTTAAAAAAAAACAAACTTTTTTTTTTTTTTTTTGGTAGAGAGGGAGCCTCCCTATGTTGCCCAGGCTGGTCTCGAACTCCTAGACTGAAGCGATCCACCTGTCTCGGTCTCCCAAAGTGCTGGGGTTACAAGCATTAGCCACCGATCCCAGCCCTGGCGCATCCTTTTCCTACACGCTTGGAGCTCGGGCAGCCCTATCTCGGCCTCCTCTCAACCTTCTCATTCCCCAGGACCTGCCTTTCTTGGAGAAGGAGCTGCTTAGCATCTCTCCGGAGGCCCCATCACCGAGTTAGGCCCTGTGCGTTATCTCAGCCCGGTCCTGTCTGGTCCCTACCCAGTTGCAGACCCCGCTCCCTAATCGCACCTTTAATTCGTACAAGATGATGCGCTGGCGCAGCCGCACGTGGACGTCCCCGCAGAGACCGAAGTCCCAGGCCGAGAACACCCGGTGGCTGTAGCTGGTCAGAGCCTCGGACTCCGCCAGCAGTGTCTGCTTCAGCCCAGACACCGAGCTGAGAGGGGAGACCCGGGAGACGGGAAGTGAAAGGACAGCCAGGAACGGGGGTTATGGGGAGACCCCTCATATTGGGACAAATGGGGAAGATGAACCCTAAGGCCTTGGGTACTAGGCGAGTTCCCACCAGACCAGATGGGGAAAGAGTCAAAGAGGCGGAGACACAGTCATTGAAGGCAAAGTCCAAGGGAGATTCAGAGACAGTTCTGGGGTGCAGGCACCCCAAAGAGAGGCAGAAACCTAGGAGACAGGGACAGAGCCTCGGAGCGAAGGGGGCAGAAACCCAGAGTGAGAGAAACAGAGGCCCTGAGGAAGACAGAGATGTGGAGGAGGGACAGAGGCCCCAGAGGGAGATTCGGAGAAAGGGAGAAAAAGACAGTGAGAAAGGGGAAACTACATCTACAAAAGATGGGGGTCAAAGACCCATAAGAAGTACAGGCACACAGAGAAGGGAGCTGCGGCGGGAAGAGCCGAGAAGAAGACAGAGACCCAGAGAAGATGGCAGGTAAAGACTCAAGAGAGGGGGCAGGCCAGGCGCCATGGCTCACGCCTGTAATCCCAGCACTTTGGGAGGCCGAGGGGGGAGGATCACCTGAGGTCAGGAGTTTGAGACCAGCCTGGCCAATGTGGTGAAACCCCGTCTCTACTAAAAATACAAAAATTAGCCAGGCGTGGTGGTGCATGCCTGTAATCCCAACTACTTGGGAGGCTGAGGTGGGAGGATCACTTGAACCCAGGAGGTGGAGGTCGCCTCCAAAAAAAAAAAAAAAAGACCCAGAGAAGACGGGCAGGTAAAGAGACTCAAGAGAGGGGGGCAAAGACCCAGGAAGGAGATAGAGAACCCCAGCAGGGGCAGAAACAGAACTGGACAAAGAGACCATGTGCACCTTCACTGCCCTGGCCCCGGCCCCCATCATCTCTCATGTGAACAACCACAGAGGGCCCTCACATGGTCTCCTTGCTTCCACTTGTGCCCGCATATAATCCATTCTCAGTTCTTGAGCCAGTGGGACCTTCTTTTGATGCAACTCAGACCGTATTCCCCTGTTTAAGACCTATTCCAGGGCTTTTCCCTTCTCTTAAAATCGAGGCTCTTTGCCGGGCGTGGTGGCTCACGCCTGTAATCCCAGCACTTTGGGAGACCGAGGCGGGTGCATCACCTGAGGTCAGGAGTTCGAGACCAGCCTGACAAACATGGTGAAACCCCATTTCTACTAAAAATACAAAATTAGCCGGGCATGGTGGCACATGCCTGTAATCCCAGCTACTTGGGAGGTTGAGGCAGGAAAATTGCTTGAACCCGGGCGGCGGAGGTTGCAGTGAGCTGAGATCGCACCACTGCACTCTAGCCTGGGTGACAGAGCGAGACTCCGTCTCAAAAAAAAAAAAAGTTGACTTTTGGCCAGGCACATTGGCTCATGCCTGTAATTCCAGCACCTTGGGAGGCTGAGGTGAGCAGATCTCTTGAGCCTAGGAGTTTGAGCGCAGCCTGGGCAACATAGCAAGACCCTGTCTCTATAACATTAAAAAAAAAATTTTAGCAAGACATGGTGGTGCACCCCTGTGGTCCCAGCTGCTCCCGAGGCTGAGGTAGGCGGATCAGTTGAGTTCCGGAGGCCCAGGCTTCCGGTGAGCTATGATTGCACCACCGCACGCTAGCCGGGTGACAGAGTGAGACCCTGTCTCAAAAAACAAAACAGACTGGGTGCGGTGGCTCACACCTGTAATCCCAGCACTTTGGGAGGCCGAGGCAGGTGGATCACCTGAGATCAGGAGTTCGAGACCAGCCTGGCCAACATGGCGATACCCCGTCTCTACTAAAAATACAAAAAATTAGCTGGGCGTGGTGGCCGGAGCCTGTAAACCCAGCTACTTGGGAGGGTGAGGCAGTAGAATCGCTTGAACCCGGGAGGTGGAGGTTGCAGTGAGCCAAGATCGTGCCATTGCACTCCAGCCTGGGCGACAGAGTAAGACTCTGTCTCAAAAACAAACAAACAAAACAAATGAAAAACAAAAACAAATCCCAAAACCTTGATCTTTTTTTTTTTTTTAGATGGAGTTTCGCTCTGTCGCCCAGGCTGGAGTGCAGTGGCGCAAACTCGGCTCACTGCAAGCTCCGCCTCCTGGGCCACCGCTCCTGGCCCAAAACCTTGATTTTAACTCACACAGAATAAAGGGTTACACAGCAAGACCGAGGATTCTGGGGCCGGGCGCGGTGGCTCACGCCTGTAATCCCAGCACTGTGGGAGGCCGAGGCGGGTGGATCACGAGGTCAGCAGTTCAAGACCAGCCTGACCAACATGGTGAAACCCCATCTCTACTAAAAATACAAAAAAGTTAGCTGGGCGTGGTGGCGGGCGCCTGTAATCCCAGCAACTTGGGAGGCTGAGGCAGGAGAATCGCTTGAAACCGGAAGGCGGAGGTTGCAGTGAGCCGAGATTGCGCCACTACACTCTAGCCTGGGCAATAAGAGCAAAACTCCGTCTCAAAAAAAAAAAGACTGAGGATTCTTGGGGAGGGGGTTTCTGCCACCACCACTTGCTCCCCCACCCCAACCCGTCCCGTCAGGGGTCAGGGGTGCAGGTGCCACTGACCGATGCAGGATGAGCAGGAGGCAGATGAGGCCAACGGCAAAGGCCCAGCACAGGTAGGTGACCGCCAGGCGTGGGCGGGGCGGGTAGAAGCCATAGAAGAGAGGGGACCATTCCAGGTAACCCTGTGGGGGGAAGGCGGCGCAGGGGCCACTGTGGGAGGAGGCGGGGCTCCTGGAGCTGCACAGTCAGGGTCTGGGGTCAGGGTTTGAGGTTCGTGTCATTGAAGGCACTGGGGTCACAGGTGGGCGGGGAATCCCCCAGGGACCCAGGCACCTACCTCACCCGAGAGCAAGTTGAAGAGCTGGGTGGCAAAGGTGACCAGGCCCTGGGAGTGGGGGTTATAGGAGCCGCAGGGCGAGGAGATGTCGGGGCCGGGAGGGCCTGGGGGAGCGCCTCCCAACCAGGTGGGCAGCAGCGTCATGCAGGCCATGAGCACAGAGGCCAGCACGTTAAGAAGGAGCAGGAAGCGCAGCAGGGAGAAGTAGGACTCCGTGCCGGCGCCAAACTGGCCTGCAGGGGGCAGCAGAGAGAGGCTCAGGTTCCTTCCCGGGAGCAGGACCAGCCCCTCCTACCCCTGGACTGGGGTCCAGCCGCGCCTTCCTTTCTTTCTTTCTTTTCTTTCTTTTCTTTCTTTCTTTCTTTTCTTTCTTTCTTTTTCTTTCTTTCTTTCTTTCTTTCTTTCTTTCTTTCTTTCTTTCTTTCTTTCTTTCTTTCTTTCTTTTCTTTCTTTCTTTCTTTCTTTCTTCCTTTCTTTCTTTTCTTTCCTTCCTTCCTTCCTTCCTTCCTTCCTTCCTTCCTTCCTTCCTTCCTTCCTTCCTTTCTTTCTCTCTCTCTCTCTCTCTATATATATATATATATATTTTTCTTTTCTTTTCTTTTCTTTTTTTTTTTTTGAGACGGAGTTTCGCTCTGCCGCCCAGCATGGAGTGCAGTGGCGCGATCTCGGCTCACTGCAACCTCCGCCTCCTGGGTTCAAGCAATTCTCCTGTCTCAGCCTCACGAGTAGCTGGGATTACAGGCGTGCGCCACCATGCTCAGCTAGTTTTTGTATTTTTGGTAGAGACGGGGGTTTCACCATGTTGGTCAGGCTGGTCTCGAATTCTTGACCTCAGGTGATCCACCCACCTCGGCCTCCCAAACTGTTGGGATTACAGGCGTGAGCCACCGCGCCAGGCCCAGCCGTGCCTTTCTCAGACCCAAGAGTCCAGACCCCCAGCCCCTCCTCCCTCAGACCCAAAAATCCAGGCCCAAGCCCCTCCTCCCTCAAACCCAGGAGTCCGTCCCCAGCCCCTCCTCCCTCAGACCCAGGAGTCCAGGCCCTGCCCCCAGGACACCACCCAAACCCCACCGCACCCCCGATCCTCTTCAGTGTCCACGCCCAGGGCTGCAGGCTTCGCAAGCCTTCCTTTGTTTTCTCCTTGGACCTCCGAAGTAGCCGCG
The DNA here is from genome assembly GCF_000001405.40 of Homo sapiens. Lineage (NCBI taxonomy): Eukaryota > Metazoa > Chordata > Mammalia > Primates > Hominidae > Homo > Homo sapiens. Next base: position 144,451 of record NW_003571061.2, read on the forward strand.
CCCATCGGTCCGTCTTAGTTCCAGAGCCATAGACCACCTGGTCCCTGCTGGCATTTCTTTGCCTGGGAGGGAAACAGGCAGAAAATGAGGGGTTTCGCAGCCCCAGACTGGGAACCATCTGAATGTAGACACAATCCAACAGTAGAATGGAGAAGTAAATTGTGGCCTATACATAAGATAGAATACTCTGTAGCAATAAAAAAGAAACCAGCTGGGTACAGTGGCTCAGGCCTGTAATCCCAGCACTTTGGGAGGCCGAGGTGGGTGAATCACCTGAGGTCAGGAGTTCGAGACCAGCCTGACCAACATGGTGAAATCCTGTCTCTACTAAAAATACCAAAAAAAAAAAAAAATTAGCTGGGCCTGGTGGCGGGTGCCTGTAATCCCAGCTACACGAGAGGCTGAGGCAGGAAAATTGCTTGAACCTGGGAGGTGGAGGTTGCAGTGAGCTGAGATGGCGCCATTGCATTCCAGCCTGGGTGACGGAGTGAGATTCCAAGAAAGGAAAGAAAGAAAGAAAAGAAAGAAACCTAATGCTAGGCAGAAGAAGCCAGCACAAAAGACTGAAGACTGTATGATTCTATTTGCACAACGTTGCAGAGCACAGCTTGCAAAGCTCTACAGAAAAGCAGGAGGCTGGAGTGGGAGGATCGCTTGAGCCCAGGTGTCGGAGGCTGCAGTGAGCTGAGACTGCACCACTGCACTCCAGCCTGGGCATCAGAGCAAGACTCTGTCAAAAAAAAAAAAAAAAAGGTTAGGGAGAAGAGGTTACCTTGTATTTGTGAGGAAAAAGGGGGTGTCAGGGGAGGGACGCACAGGGTGCTGTCATGCCGTGTCACTTGCCCTAGCTGGAGTTTATCTGGGCTCTCACTTTATGAATACAGCCATCCCTCAGTATCCATGGGGGTTGGTTCAAGGACTCCCCAAGAATACTGAAATCTGTAGATGCCCAAATTCCTTATATAAAACGGTATAGTATTTGCATACAGGCTACACACATCCTCCTGTGTTTGTTTTATTTTATTTTAATTTTTATCTGATTTTTACAGACAAATGTCTCGTTTTGTTGTCCAGGCTGGAGTGCGGTGGTGCAATCATAGCTCAATGCAGCCTCAAACTTCCAGGCTCAAGCAATTCTCCCGCCTCAGCCTCCCAAAGCGCTGGGGCTACAGGTATGGGCCACGACACCCAGCCCTCCAATGCACTTTAAATCACCTCTAGATTACTTATAACACCCGGTACAAGGTAAATGTTATATAGATAGCTGTTCTTTTAACTTGTATTATTTTTTGTCATATTGTTACTTTGATTATTACTTTTAAAAAATAGAGATGGGGGTCTCGCTATGTTACTCAGGCCGCAGTATAGTGGCTATATTCACAGGCATGATCCCACTACTGATCGGCGTGGGAGTGTTGATACATTGTTATTTTTTATTGTTTTTTCCATATATATACACATATATATACATATATATGTGTATATATATACACACATATGCATATATATACGCATATATGCGTATATATATACGCGTATATACGCGTATATATATATTTGAGATGGAGTCCCGCTCTATCACCCAGGCCGGAGTCCAATGGCACGATCTTGGCTCACTGCAACCTCTATCTCCCTGGTTCAAGCGATTCTCCTGCTTCAGCCTCCCGAGTAGCTGGGATTACAGGCACCCGCCACCACACCCAGCTAATGTTTGTATTTTTAGTAGAGTTGGGGTTTTGCCATGTTGGCCAGGCTGGTCTTGAACTCCTGACCACAGGTGATCCACTCGCCTGGGCCTCCCAAAGTGCTGGGATTACAGGTGTGAGCCACTGCAATGGGCCCATAATCATTTTTGAAGGAGGGCACCTGCATTTTCATTGTTCACCAGGCCCTGCAAATTATGCAGTGAGAATGGGAAAAGAAAGAAGTTAAAGAGAGGGAGGCTTGGAAGAGGAGGCAAAGATGAAGGAAGGTATAAAGCAGAGAGAAATAAATATTAACAGATTTTGGACACACACACAGAGAGAAACTGAGGCAGAGACAGGATTGGTGGAGACCAGGGAGACGGCAAATCCCAGAGAGAAGAGACCCCAGAGCCATCGAAAGGCAGCACTCACCTGGAGTCCGAAGTAGAGACAAAGATGAGGGGAAGAAAGAAACCAAGAGAGGCAGCTCTGAGCGGGGCAGAGAGAGGCCCCAGAAGCCAGGAGCGGCAGAGGACAGAGGGAGGAGACCGAGTCCAGGGTATGGGAGAAGGGCCCGGTCCGGGCTGTGCGGGTCCCAGCTGGAGGTGGGGCCTCACCTGTGTGCCCGTCTGGCCTGCATGGGCCAGGGCAGTTCCCGGGAAGGGTGAGGGTCCTGCAGCTCTGTCTGGGTGACTTCTGTGAAGGCCTTTCTGCTCCTTCCTCCATCCTCCTCCTCCTCCTCCAGCGCCCCCCAAGGCAGCACCCCAGGGTCTCGGTACCGAAGGGTGGCAGCACTGGGCAGCTCGTTCAGCACAGAAGACAGCGATGGGCCTGGGGAGGAGCAGGGGGCTGGGAAGACCCGGGAGTCTGGGCCCTAATTCCTCCTCCCTCAGACCAGGAAACCAGGTCCCCGGCCCCTCCTCCCTCAGACCCAGGAGTCCAGGCCCCCGGCTCCTCCTCCCTCAGACCCAGGAGTCCAGGCCCCCGGCTCCTCCTCCCTCAGACCCAGGAGTCCAGGCCCCCGGCTCCTCCTCCCTCAGACCCAGGAGAACAGGCCCCCGGCCCCTCCTCCCTCAGACCCAGGAGAACAGGCCCCCGGCCCCTCCTCCCTCAGACCCAGGAGTCCAGGCCCCCGGCTCCTCCTCCCTCAGACCCAGGAGAACAGGCCCCCGGCCCCTCCTCCCTCAGACCCAGGAGTCCAGGCCCCCGGCTCCTCCTCCCTCAGACATAGGAATCCAGGCACCCAGCCCCTCCTCCCTCAGACCAGGAAACCAGGTTCCCAGCCCCTCCTCCCTCAGGCCCAGGAGTCCGGGTGCCAGCCTCTACTTCCCCTGGACCCAGGGGTCCACAGCCCTCAACTCCATCCCCAAGCGTGGAACCCTCCTACTCCAGGGCAGTGGAGTCCAGGCTTCAACTTCCTTTTCCCTCTAGCTCAGGAGTGTGGGAACCCAGCCTCTCCTATTCCCAAGACACCCAAACTCCCAGCCCTTAGCCCTCCCCTCCTCCCAGACTAGCCTGGTTCTCCAGGCTCCTCCTCCTCAGACCCTGGAGTTCCAGCCTCCAGTTCCCTTCTCCCCCATAATATCAGGAAGTGGAACCTTCTCTCTTTAGCCCTCAGACTCAGGAGGCCAGGCCTCCCCTTTCCTCCTCCAGCAGGACTCCCACCTAGCCTGAAGGTCGGATGGATCTGAGCTTCTCCTGGCATTCCCTACCTCCTCTGGCCTCCCGGGGGGCCAGCCACCCCCTAGAGGAGCCCCAGGCTTCTGATTCCAAGGTCGGGTTTTCTTCCATGGCCCAGGCTGGGCTGTCTCTAGTGGCCACCAGGCAGACACTGCCCCAGGTAAGGGAGGGGCCAGGGGCAGGTGTGTACCTGGCCAGCAGGTGGCCCGGAGGGAGTAAGGTACACTTCCTGTGGTTTCTCAGGGCCGCTGATGCGAAAGGTCTCCTGGGAGCTGAAGTCCCCGTGGTGCCCCGGGCCTGACAGTTTGGTTCCTGGGCTGGGCGGGGGGGCTGTACCTCACCCTGGGACTTGGTGGACTAAGTCCTTCCCACCGTTTATCACCCAGATACCTGCACGGACAGGATGCCTTTGTGCAACACTTTATTGGGAAAGATTTACACACGGTGACCTGTCATAGGCCAAGCGATGAGAAGAGGGCGCCAGGAGCGCTGGGGTCCCGAGGTGGCTCAGATGGAAGCCATGGGACGGCCGTCCCCAGGCCCGCGCACCCGCACCTCAGTTTCCCCTTTGTGAAATGGGAAGCTTATGCTTCCTTCCAAGTCTGCAATATTGGTGCGATGAGCTAAAAGTGGAGCGAAAGACACAAGGAAGAGGCTTCCCACTCCCAGGACCTGCCCCCAAGCTCCGACCCCACATTGTGGATGCAAAGAAAGGGAATTTGCCCAAAACCCACTGCCCAGGGGCCCCTTCCGTTTTGGGGAAGTGCAGTGCTCTCTGGATACCCAGAAGCTGGAGCAGGGGCCAGTGACTCTTGTCTGGACAATACTTTGATTTTGTAGGAGTGGAGGTGGCCTCTGGGCAGAGGGCAGGGAGGACACCCCCGGGTCTGCTTCAGTTGCAGGCAGGGTATTTAGCTGGGGAAGAGGAAATTCTCTCCAGGACCCTCTCCAAGGTAAGGACTCTTTCTGGGGAGGAGACAGCAGCCTGGTTCACAGAATTCCCGGGACCAGCTGGCAGAGGGAGCGTCGTGACAGCTTACTCCTCCCGGAGCTTCTCTGGGGCAAGGCTGGTGGGCTGGGATGCTGCCTTCCGCCGGCTGGGGCTGCCCCCACCTAAAGCCAGCCCCAGCCCCAGGGCTGCCAGGGCCAGGAAGTGGATACAGAAGTAGATGGAGGCCCAGTACCGAAGGGTGTCGGCCAAGGAGAGCAGCACGAAGCCCATGCACATGTAGTCATAGGCGCGCATCTTCAGGAACCAGTGCACCCAGTCCCAGGCCTTCTGGCCCCCTGGGCTCAGCCGCCCCCGCAGGGCTGACTCCAGCCGGCCCTCGGCAGCCAGGCACAGCGGGATGGTCAGGAAGCTCAGGTAGTAGCCCGGGTGGAGGCCGTGCCAGTAGGCGCTCAGCAGCATGGTCCAGGCGCTCCTGAGGAGGAGGCTGGGAGTCAGGACCTACGAGTCCAGGTCCCCAGTGCCCACTGCCCCCAGATCCAGGAGTCCAGGACCCCAGCCCCTCCTCCCTCAGACCGAGAAGTGCAGGCCCAGCCCCTCCTCCCTCAGACCCAGGAGTCCAGACCCCACCCCTTCCTCCCTCAGACCCAGGAGATCAGGCCCCAGTCCCTCCTCCCTCAGACCCAGGAGACCAGACCCCACCTCCCTCCTCCCTCAGATCCAGGAGTCCAGACCCCACTTCCCTCCTCCCTCAGATCCAGGAGACCAGACCCCACCTCCCTCCTCCCTCAGATCCAGGAGACCAGGCCCCAGGCCCTCCCCACTCAGACCCATGACCCTAGCTCCGGAAGGCGGAGGAGGCTACAGGCCTCTGTCTCCTTCAGGGATCCAGGAGCTCGCAGCCTTCCATACACACTCAGTCCTATCAAGACCCTCTTCTTCTTTAAAGATTTAACATTTTATATTCCACTGCCCTTCCTCTCCCAGGACCAACAAGTCTTAATTCTTCAGCCCAGTGGTTTTTTTTTTTTTTTTTTGAGACAGAGTCTCGCTCTGTCGCCCAGGCTAGAGTGCAGTGGCGCGATCTTGGCTCACTGCAAGCTCCGCCTCCCAGGTTCACGCCATTCTCCTGCCTCAGCCTCCCGAGTAGCTGGGACTACAGGCGCCCGCCACCACGCCCGGCTAATTTTCTTTTCTATTTTTAGTAGAGACGGGGTTTCACCGTGTTAGCCAGGATGGTCTCGATCTCCTGACCTCGTGATCTGCCCGCCTTGGCCTCCCAAAGTGCTGGGATCACAGGTGTCAGACACCACACCCGGGCAGCCCGGTGGTTCTTAACCTGGGGTCCCAGGTCTGGCATCAGCATCACCTGAGAACTTGTGAGACATACAAATCCTTGTCCCCACCCCTTTTGCACCAGAAGCCCTGGGGGTGGGGCCCAGGAGAAGTCTTCCAAGTTAACAAGTCCTCCAGTGACTCTGATGCCTGTTAACATTTGACAACTCCTGCCTGGCTCATGAAGATCCAGAAGTCCCTGGCCTGTGGTCCTTCCTTATTCTGGGCCCAGGAGATATGTTCCTCTTCCTCCAAGGCCCAGCACCATCTTTCCTCACTCTTTTTATTTTTTTGGAGACAGAGTCTCGCTCTGTTGCCACACGACAAGGCTCACTGCAGCCTCTGCCTCTTGGATTCAAGCGATTCTTATGCCTCAGCCTCCCAAGTAGCTGGGATTACAGGCAAGCGCCACCAAACTCAGCTAATTTCTGTATTTTTTGTTGTTGTTGTTCAGACGGAGTCTCGCTCTGCCGCCCATGCTGGAGTGCAGTGGCGCAATCTCGGCTCACTGCAACCTCTGCCTCCCGGGTTCAAGTGATTCTCCTGCCTCAGCCTCCCGAGCAGCTGGGACTACAGGTGCCCACCACCATGCCAGGCTAATTTTTGTATTTCTGGTAAAGACGGGGTTTCACCATGTTGGCCAGGATGCTCTCAATCTCTTGACCTTGTGATCCACCCGCCGTGGCCTACCAAAGTGCTGGGATTACAGGCGTGAGCCACTGCACCCAGCCATTTTTGTATTTTTAGTAGAGATGGGGTTTCACCACGTTGGCCAGGATGGTCTCGATCTCCTGACCTTGTGATCCACCCACCTTGGCCTCCCAAAGTGCTGGGATTACAGGTCTGAGCCACCGCGCCCAGCCTCTTTTTTTTTCTTTGTAAAGATGGAGTCTTGCTATGTTGACCTGGCTGGTCTCGAACTCCTGAGCTTAAGTGATCCTCTCACCTTGGCCTCCCAAAATACTGGAATTACAGATGTCAGCCATTGCACCTGGCCAACTCTTGTTTTCTTGAGAAGGGAGGACCATTGGCTTTCTGGTTCTTCAAGAGTGCGGAGGCTGGGTGCAATGGCTGGCACCTGTAATCCCAGCACTTTGGGAGGCTAAAAATACAAAGATTAGTCTGTCATGGTAGCACGTGCCTATAATCCCAGCTACTAGGGGGGCTGAGACAGGAGGATTGCTTGAACCTGGGAGGGAGAGGTTGCAGTGAGCCGAGATCACGCCACTGCACTTGAGCTGTAAAATAAACAAAAACGATGGATCCTGTGCATTTTAAGGTGTTTAGGAGCATCCCTGGCCCCCACCCACGACATCCGACTAGCACCTTCCAGTTACAACAACATGTCTCCAGGGATTGCCATGTGTCTCCTGGGGGTGCAGCAGCAGCACAGTTGCCCCCAGTTGAGAAGCACTTGTCTAAACACTGGGGTGCTTTGACCTGGCCTCAGCCCCAGAGCTTTAAGCGTCATCTATACCTGGCCAGATGCAGTGGCTCATGCTTGTAATCTCAGCACTTTGGGAGGCTGAGATGGGAGGACTGCTTGGGGCCAGGAGTTTGAGACCAGCCTGGTCAACACAGTGAGACCTCATCTCTATACATTTTTTAAAAAGTAAAAAAAAAATAATAATAATACTTAAAAAATTTTGGCCGGGCATGGTGACTCACGCCTGTAATCCCAGCACGTTGGGAGGCCGAGGCACGCGGATCACTTGAGGCCAAGAGTTCGAGACCAGCCTGGCCAACATGGTGAAACCCTGCGTCTACTCTTGGCACGAGAATCACTTGAACCCAGGAGATGGAGGTTGCAGTGAGCTGAGATCACAACACTGCACTCCATCCTGGGTGACAGAGCATCAAAATACTAATACTAATACTAATACTAATACTAATACTAATACTAATACTAATAATAATATCCTTCTTACTCCCAAAACTTACCCTTCCTGGGTCTTCCCCTTCCACATTTATCTAATTAAATTAAATTAAATTAATAATTATTTTTGTTTGTTTTTTGTGTTTTTTTGTTTGTTTGTTTTTGAGACAGAGTCTCGCTCTGTTGCCCAGGCTGGAGTGCAGTGGCGCGATCTCGGCTCACTGCAAGCTCCGTCTCCCGGGTTCACACCATTCTCCTGCCTCAGCCTCCCCAGTAGCTGGGACTACATGCACCCGCCGCCACACCCGGCTAATTTTTTGTATTTTTAGTAGAGACAGGGTTTCACCGTGTTAGCCAGGATGGTCTTGATCTCCTGACCTTGTGACCCACCCACCTTGGCCTCCCAAATTGCTGGGATTATAGGCATGAGCCACCGTGCCCGGCCTATTTTATTTTATTTTGAGACAAAGTCTCTCTCTGTTGCCCAGGTGACCTTGGCTCACCGCAACCTCCGCCTCCCGGGTTCAAGTGATTCTCTTGCCTCAGCCTCCCTAGTAGCTGGGATTATAGGCGCCCGCCACCATGCCTAGCTAATTTTTTGTATTTTTAGTAGAGAAGGGGTTTCTCCATATTGCCCAGGCTGGTCTTCACCATATTGCCCTGACCTCAAGATGATCCACCTGCCTGGGCCTCCCAAACTGCTGGGATTACAAGTGTGAGCCACCATGCCTGGCTATGAGTTCTACTTCTGTTTTTTTTTTTTTTTTTTTTTTTTTTTTTTTTTTTGAGACGGAGTCTCGCTGTCGCCCAGGCTGGAGTGCAGTGGCGAGATCCCAGCTCCCTGCAACCTCTGCCTCCCGGGTTCAAGCCATTCTCCTGCCTCAGCCTCCCGAGTAGCTGGGACTACAGGCGCCCACCACCACACCAGGGTAATTTTTTGTATTTTTAGTAGAGACAGCATGTCACCATGTTGGTCAGGCTGGTCTCGAACTCCTGACCTCATGATCCACCTGCTTGGGCCTCCCAAAGTGCTGGGATTCCAGGCGTGAGCTGCCGCACCCGGCTGAGTTTCTGCTTCTAAAGGCTGCACAGATAACAGTGTCAAGCACAGAGTCTCCACTCGAGAAATATTGGAAGAATGAAAAACAATAAAAATGAATACACAGCACGCACTTACCTGTCAGGCCTCACATTAAATACATTTCACATTTTATCACATTTAGTCCTTCTATCTACCTATGAAACCAGTAATAAATAGCATTCACTCCATTCAACACTTGAGGCAACTAAGAGGTCAACTAACTCCTCAAGGTTTCTCCATAACCTGGACGGCCAAGATTCCAGGAAGGCTGGCTATTGAGTCCACAGGACTCAGTACATTGCTTCTGCTGAGTGAGGCTGACTTTACAGAAGTAGCAACTGAGGCCCCGAGAGGGGGAACGATTTTACACCGGCATGCTGCCACTATAATTAGAGGCAGGGCAAAACCAGGCTAAACAAACTACAATTCCCATGAGCCTCCGGGGGCAGGGGCCCAGCCAGGGACGCTGCAGGCTACCCTGGGGCCTGCTGGGAGATGTAGTTCTGCAGTGTCACCTGAGACTGGGCGGGCTCACTCACCGCAGGACATAGGAACGGGCAGGTGCGCTCTTGTAGATATACTGCGCCAGCCACCACTGCACCGTCATGTTCCAGTACCGCATGCCATCGCGCACCCGCACGCAGAAATCTGTGCTGTAGCAGTCGATGTTGCGGATGGTCTCATAGTCATACTCCAAGGAAGCCGCCTTCTCCGGACTGGGGGGTGGAGGATGAGGGTGGGGGACAGACATGCAGCTCAGCCAGGCCCCCTCCCGACGCCTGCTAGTGTCCCAGCCCCGGATGCTAAGGAAGGGATCCTGGCCAGGCAATGGCCCTCTGGCTGTCAGACTTGCTAGGGCAGCAAGGGAGGGTGGCCCAGAGGGTGCCTGTAGGGTAGGAAGGTGGGTGGGCTGGGTGGTACAGTTCACTGACAATGGGGTTCTTCTTCTTTTGGTACCTAATGGGGCCCGCCACAGCCATGAAAAGCCTTGAAGGGCTATGGTTGCTAAGCTATGAGTCCTTTAGCAACCAAACTCAGTATATTCAGAGAAGCCGCCAAGGATGGTCCCTTCTAAATTGTCGGACACTGCAGTTGCCAGGGAAGTTGTGGTTATCATCCCTAATAACAAGGTGCTTCACGGTTGCTAGGGAGATGTTCCAGGCGCCAGTGGGGTCCCCATGATCTTTGTTGCTAAGGAAAAGGCATTCCTTAGCAACAATGCCTAGGATGTTTAGAAAGGCTTTTAGGAAGGGGCTTTTTTCCTGGTCGCAGTGATTATTGGAGAAGTGTCACCTCTAGCAATACAGTGGCTCCCTCATCACTCATGTCGACAGCCCCAGCAGTGGGAAACACTGGCCCATATGAAGCCTTGGTGGCCTCTGATGACAGGAGGGGAGCCATCCTTTAGGAGTGAGGACCGAGCAGATTTAGAAAAACCTTCAATTCCTGCTTGGCTTTACTAGGGGGACATCCTCTCTCTAGCAGCTGGAGGTCAGGGCACGGTTATTAGGGCAGTGGTAACAAATTCCCGTGGGGGTGTCACTACCCCCACAACAGAATGGCAGTTTGTGACGACTAGGGGACAACCCTAGCAGGGAGTAGTAGTTCATCATTTACATCAACAGGCTGTTCCCCCAGCCGCAGTCCAAGCCCCTGGGGGAAGGCTGACTGCAGCTGTCAGGAACACAAGGGCAGTCTACTCCTGGTTGCCGGGGGTGCCATCTCCCTAGCAACACGGGGGCAATACTTCCTCAGCCACAAGAGAGTCCACAGCTATGGCCGTGCGACTTGCCTAGCAATGCAGGTGCCGGGGGGTGGAGCCTCTCTGGCAACAAGGGTCAACCCATAGTTTCCAGGGGGAGGTTTGGCTTCCTTAGCAACAGTGTAACTGTAGTTGGTAGGAATGGCGTGCCCTCTGCTGGGGAACAGCACTGGTCAGGGATTGGAAATTGCTATTTCCTTGCAGAGGGCTGCTGAGGGCTGCTATGTGAGGACATCCCACGGGGTGGAGCAGTGCTAGCTCCTAGCAACAAAGGGGCAGTGCAGGGAGTGCCGTATCTGCAGCAACAGAGCAAAACTTCTGGTAAAAAGGAGGTGAGCTACTGTTGCTAGGGATCCTGCTTCCCTAGCAAATAGTGGCGTTCTGTTGCTAGGGAACCGTTTCCCTAGCAACAGAGGGTGACCCACCACTAGCAAAGGATGGCATCCCCAGCAAGCAGGAACAATCTGGTTCTGGGGGGTGACACTTCTGTGGCAACAGAGGGGTGGCACAGGGTTGCTAAGTTACCACCTTTTCCTAGCGACAGGGGGCAGTTCACCACACTGCGGGGTGACAAGCGCTAGCAACAAGGGGCATCTGTCAGTACCAGGGATCTTTTCCCTACCGACAGGGGCTGGCAGGCCATGGTTGCCGAGGGGGCGACACTCTGCTCAAAAAGGTGGTGGCCCTGGCCCCTTGCTCCCCGCTCTCCTCCCGGCTAGGGGCAGAGCCAGCCCTTGGAGGTGGGGGCTGCTGGGTCTTGGGAAGCCTCCCTCGCGCCGCCTGACCTGCTGGGGGGTGGGCATTGGAGGGTGGGGCCGCCTCCGGCCCGGGCTTTGGCGGCCACGGGGTAGGCCCCAAAGCCGGCGGCAATGCAGCCGCACTCGGCGGCAATCCAGGCCACGTAGAAGCGCATGCGGAAGGCGAAGAAGACGGGGATCATGTAGAAGAGGCGGGCGGGCAGCGGGCGGGCGTAGAAGGCGTCCTCGCGCACGGCCTCCAGCGGGAAGAGGTGAGAGGAGAGCAGGAACAGCAGGCCGAAGAGCGGGGCCGGCCAGGCGCGGCGCAGCAGGGGCCGCAGGCTGGGCACTGCCCCGGGGAAGGGCTGCTCCAGCCAGTCCAGGTAGGTGCGGTAGCGGAAGAACGGGCCTGTGGGGCGGGGAGGGAGGGCCGCGGTCAGACAGGCAGGTGGGCAGAGCTCAAGTCTGCAGGAGGAGGACAGGGAGCTTGGAAGGAAGGTGGGAAGAGGGAGTGAGAGGGGCAGAGACTGGGCGCCGGGGAGACCCCAAGGGTAGGGACTGAGACCCTGAGAGATGGGGATAAGGAACGAGAGACAGGGGGGACAAGAAACTCAGAGAGACAGAGACAGTAACAGAAAAACAGACAGAGGGGCCGGTGCGGTGGCTCACACCTGGAATCCCAGCACTTTGGGAGGCCTAGCTGGGAGGACTGCTTGAGCCCAACAGTTGGACAGCAGCCTGGGCAAAACGGCAAGACCCCATCACTACAAAAAATAAAAATCAGCCAGGTGTGGAGGGCACCTGAATTCCCAGCTACTGGGGAGGCTGAGGCGGGAGGATCGTTTGAGCCCAGGCTGCAGTGAGCAGTGACTGAGCTACTGCATTCCAGCCAGGGAGGGAGGGAGGGAGGGAGGGAAGGAGTGAAGAAGGGAAGAAAGAAGGGAGGGAAGGAGGGAAGGAAGGAGGGAGGGAAGGAGGGAAGGAAGAAGGGAGGGAAGGAGGGAAGGAAGGAGGGAGGGAGGGAAGGAGGGAAGGAAGGAGGGAGGGAAGGAGGGAAGGAAGGAGGGAGGGAGGGAAGGAGGGAAGGAAGGAGGGAGGGAAGGAGGGAAGGAAGAAGGGAGGGAAGGAGGGAAGGAAGGAGGGAGGGAGGGAAGGAGGGAAGGAAGGAGGGAGGGAGGGAAGGAGGGAAGGAAGGAGGGAGGGAGGGAGGGAAGGAGGGAAGGAAGGAGGGAGGGAAGGAGGGAAGGAAGGAGGGAGGGAAGGAAGGAGGGAGGGAAGGAGGGAAGGAAGGAGGGAGGGAAGGAAGGAGGGAAGGAAGGAGGGAAGGAAGGAGGGAGGGAAGGAAGGAGGGAGGGAAGGAAGGAGGGAGGGAGGGAGGGAAGGAGGGAAGGAAGGAGGGAGGGAAGGAGGGAAGGAAGGAGGGAGGGAAGGAAGGAGGGAGGGAAGGAGGGAAGGAAGGAGGGAGGGAAGGAAGGAGGGAAGGAAGGAAGAAGGGAAAAGGGAAGGACGGAGGGAAGGAGGAAGGAAAGAAACTAGGAGATAGCTGTGGCACTTTAGCTACAATATGATGGTGGTCTGGCCTAGGGAGGAAGCAGTGTGATTCACAGAAGGGACCGGGGTTAAAATTTTTATATGTTCACAAAGGCCGTATGTTTAGGTCAATGTAGCATGGGAAGATAAAAGGAAAAAAAAAACAAATTAAAATAAATAAATAAGACCACATGTTGTATGATTCCATTTGTAAGCGCAATGTCCAGAACAGGCAAATCTTTACAGATAGAAAGTCAATTACTGGTTACCAGGGATGGATGGAGGTTTGTGGGATGATGGACATGGGGTTTCTTTGCAGGGTATGAAACTGTTCTGAATATAACTACACAATGGTCATGTCTGCACAACTCGGTGAATATACTAAAAATCAGGGAGTTGTATGTTTTGTGTTTTTTTTTTTTTCCAGGAAATTAAAGAAGCCAAGAGTTGTATGTTTTAAGTGGATGAGTATGTGAATTAGAGTTCCCTAAAGCTGTTATTGGAAAAAAAACCTTTGATGAGGTAAACATTAATGAAAAATATTTTCTTTTTAAAATTTCACATATATATACACATACACACATACATATATATACACACATGCACACACACATACATATGTATTTTTTGAGATGGAGTCTTGCTCTGTTGCCCAGGATGGAGTGCAGTGGTGTGATCTTGGCTCACTGCAAACTCCGTCTCGTGGGTTCAAGCGATTCTCCAGTTTCAGCCTCCCAAGTAGCTGGGATTACAGGCACACACCACCATGCCCGGCTAATTTTTGTATTTTCAGTAGAGACGGGGTTTCACCATGTTGGCCAGGCTGGTCTCAAACTCCTGACCTCAGGTGATCTGCCTGTCTCAGCCTCCCAAAGTGCTGGGATTACAGGCGTGAGCCACTGCGCCCGGCCCTTTTAATTTTATATTTATTTATTTTTTAAAAATAAAGGTTTAAAATAAAGGGACGGGATCTTGCTATGTTGGCCAAGTTGATCTTGAACTTTTGGCCTCAAGCAATCCTCTCGCCTCAGCCTCCGAAAGTGCTAGGATTATAGGCATAAGCCCCCACGCCCAGATGAAAAATATTTCCTTAAGCTGAAAGTGGACCCTAAGCCGTGAATATTTGTTGTCTGGGAAGCAAAAACATCAGGTTGACATAGATCTTTACCTCCTTTATCTCTTCTCTTTGCTCCCAATACGCTACAAGGAGAAGAGCAAGGAATTGCTTAGGTTGAGACAGCCAGCTTCTACCCCAAAGCAGCTCTGGTCCAGCGGAGGTGTGAGACGTAGACCCAGACACATGCCCACCCTCACAGCAGCAGATGCTAGGATGGAGGTTGCCCTGGGCAGGGCGGGAACACACAACAGGCACTCAGGGCGGAAGGGGACACAGGAGACAGAGCGGCAGAGTTGTTAGGGCAGCCCCACTCACCTGTCATGATTCCCACGTAGCAGTAGCTGTAGCTGAGTGTCTCCATCAGGGAGGGCACGTCGGGCAGCAGCCCCAGGGTGGGCCCCTTGCTGAAGCCTGAGGCCATTTCCTTCCTCTGGGCCAGATGCAGGTCCTGGACTTCACTGGCCAGGCTCACCAGCTGGGCAGAAGGGGGTGGGCAAGGGGCCAGGTCAGACTCTGGGCCCTTCCCCACACCCATCTCCCTTGCGCGGCTGCCCTCGGCAGCCAAGGGGTGCTGGGTGCCCGCAGCTCTGCCCATCTAGGTTGTGTGTAACGCCTCTAGCTGGGCGGTGTTCCCCAGGGCTCAGTCCCAGGCCCTCCTCCCCTTTCCCTGTTCTGTGCTTACCTGCTCTCACGCAATCACGGAGGTTTCGATACTATCCACACGCTGAGGACGCCCAAACGCTACCCCAGCCCCAGACCTATCCAATCAAGTGGCTTATTGGCATTTATACTCGGATGTCTCCAGGCACCCCAAACGCACTGGAAACGGAACATGATGTTACCCACCCCACAAGGTAGACCCTCTTCTAGTGTCTCCCCTCAAACAACAGGCCACCAAATTGTTCAAGCCAAAAATCTCCCTCACTCCCCAAATCCGATCCTTTAATCTCTCTTTTTTTTTTTTTTTTTTTTTGAGACAAGTTTTGCTCTGTCACCCAGGCTGGAGTATACTGGTGTGATCTCGGCTCACTGCAACCCCCACCTCCTGGGGGCGCAAGCAATTCTCATGCCTCAGCTGGCCAGGCTGGTCTCGAACTCCTGGCCTCAAGTGATCTGCCCGCCTTGAAATCCCTTAAGTTTGAGTCTGTTGCCTCTTTCCATCTCCACTACTGAGCTGAATATGTTGTACTCTCCACCCTTTCCCACCAGTCCCAAGGTCCACCCTATATCAATAGATCTCCTTCTTCCAGCTTGTGGCTGGGTTGTCAGTAGAAATCCCTGGCTGGAGACAAAGTCAGGAGAGGGAGGGTAGGGCTTTTATTCCCTTGTAAGATGGCCTTGGGCTGGCTGTCACCCTTGATAGATCATTTCAAGGTGGGTGGCTCTACACACCCTTTAAAAAAAATAATTTTGGCCGGGCGCGGTGGCTCACGCCTGTAATCCCAGCACTTTGGGAGGCCGAGGCAGGCGGATCACCTGAGGTTGGGAGTTCGAGATCAGCCTGACCAACATGGAAAAACCCTGTCTCTACTAAAAATACAAAAAATTAGCCGGGCATGGTGGTGAGTGCCTGTAATTCCAGCTACTCAGGAGGCTGAGGCAGGAGAATCGCTTGAACCTGGGAGGCGGAGGTTGCGGTAAGCCAAGATCGTACCATTGCACTCCAGCCTGGGCAACAGGAGTGAAACTCCGTCTCAAAAAAAAAAAAAAAAAAAAAATTTAGGGCCAGGTGTGACGGCTCACACCTATAACACTAGCACTTTGGTTGGCCTAGGCAGGCAGATCACTTGATGTCAGGGGTTTGAGACCAGCCCGGCCAACATGGTGAAACCCCATCTCTACTAAAAATATAAAAATTAGCAAGGCGTGGTGGTGGGCGCCTGTAGTCCCAGCTACTCGAGAGGCTGAGGCAGGAGAATCGCTCGAACCCGAGAGGCAGAGGTTGCAGTGAGATCACACCACTGCACTCCAGCCTGGGCAACAGAGCGAGACTCCATCTTTAAAAATAAATAACATTTAAAAAATTAATTTTTTGTAGAGACAGGGTCTCACTATATTGCCCAGGCTGGTCTTAAACTCCTGGCCTCCAGCAGTCCTCCCACTATGACCTCCCAAAGCGCTGGGATTATACAAGTATGAGCCACTGCACCAGGCCTACACAACCCTTTTTCCATCCAGGTACCACAACCTGACCCATTTCCCCTGGGCCTAGGGTTGGGAACGGCTCCTTCTGCGGGGCTGGGGTTCAGGCACCATCCCTTCTTGCTCTTCTACATCCTGCCCAATTGGTGGCCACTCCTTCAGTCATCCTAAATGCGCGTTTCCTGCTGCAACTCAGACCTACCCACAGCCAGCCAACGGCCTGTATCAAGCCACCACAGTTTGTCACCTGGACTCGGACAAAGGAGGATCCCTTTATCTGAGTCCATCCCATCTTGCCCTGTTCCACTTCAATTCTCCTTCAGCATCCAGAACGAGTTTTCTTTCTTTTCTTTTCTTTTTTTTTTGAGATGGAATCTTGCCCGGGAAGGCCCAGGCTGGAGTGCAATGGCGGGATCTTGGCTCACTGCAACCTCCACCTTCCAGGTTCAAGCAATTATCCTGCCTCAGCCTCCTGAGTAGCTGGGATTACAGGTGTGAGCCACCACACCCGGCTCATTTTTGTATTTTTAGTAGAGACGGAGTTTTACCATGTTGGCCAGGATGGTCTCAAACTCCTAACCTCAGGTGATCTACCCGCGTCAGCCTCCCAAAGTGCTGGGATTACAGGCGTGAGCCACCGCAGCTGGCCTAGAATGAGTATTTCTATTTGTTTATTTATTTTTGAGATGGAGTTTTGCTCTTGTTGCCCAGGCTGGAGTGCAATGGTACGATCTCAGCTCACCACAACCTCCGCCTCCTGGGTTCAAGCAATTCTCCTGCCTCAGCCTCCCGAGTAGCTGGGATTACAGGTATGTGCCACCACGCCCAGCTAATCTTTTGTATTTTTAGTAGAGACAGGGTTTCTCCATTTTGGTCAGGCTGGTCTTGAACTCCCGACCTCAGGTGATCCGCCTGCCTCAGCCTCCCAAAGTGCTGGCATTACAGGCGTGAGCTACTGTGCCCAGCCAGAACGAGTATTTTTAAACATTTAAAACTGGTCACATTGCCTCTTCTGGCAGCAAACCAAAAATCCCCTCTTCCAGCAGATCTCAATCCTCCACGGGAAGAAGTCCAATGTCCTCACGGTCTCCAGCCAGGCCTAGCACGGTGTCAGCCCTGCTGCCTGTTCCCTTTTGCTCGTCCCAGAAAGTGGATGTGGCTGGTGTAGCCTGTGGAACCCAGCCTGCTCCCCTCCACACATCCTGCGGCCTGAAATGCTCCTCCACGAACCCCTCTCTCATCCAACCTACTCCTGCCACCACTGAGCTCCCACAGGGCACACTGAATGCTGGGAAGGCCACTCCCTACCTAGCATGACTGCTGTGTTCACGGATAAGCCGCCAGTAGGAAACCATGACTCTGTGGGTCTGGGGTGGGCCCTAGGATTCTGTTTTTACCCCTCTTCCCAGGTGATTAGGAGCCAGACCTGGATGCCCTAGTTTTGTTCCCTTCACCAAGTACCTTCTCCCCAGAGCTGGTTTTTCTCCTTTGCAAAATAGCTGGCTACAGAGATTCAAGGACAGCATGTTGGTAAACCACCCAGCTGGGCCTCTGGCACACCGCAAGCACCCAATGGCACCTACTGTTACCTATGTGGGTTATTTCCTCACCCCAGGAGGAGCTGGGAGGTGAAGACCTGCCCAAGGGCATGTGAATGGGGAATGCTGTGCCCAGGGCAGCAAGTGAGGTGACGTCCCACCCCCAGGGTGTGTTGGAGGTAAAATCCCGGGGAGCCACTGAAGGGGGAGGTAAAGTGGGAGGTGAAGGGGCCCACAGGGAGGCTGGAGGGGAGTGGCAAGCCCCGAGTCTGACCTTCAGCGTCAGCAGCAGCTGGACGGCATTGGTGAAGGGCGTGGGAGTGGGCAGGCCCAGGAGGCTGAGGGCTCGGAAGAACAGGAGATAGGAGAAAGTCCAGGCCAGAGCCAGGGCGTGGCAGGAGCTGGGCAAAAGCAGGAGGCGCACTGTGTTGGGCACAGAAGTCTCGGCCTTGGCCATTCACTCCACGAGTCCAGCCACCAATCCTCCCCCAGCTCTCCCCATTCGTTTAGAGACAGAAACACAGAAGGGCAGAGAGGACAGGAGGGTGGATGTAGGGACCGAATGAGTATGATTGAAACAGTGGGAGAAGAGGCTCAGCCACATAGAAACACACACCAACAGAGAATGAGGTTAAGAGAAGCTTCAGGTGAAGACCCTGCAATCCTCCACTTTTTCTTTATTTCCGAGGTCCAGGGCTCAAGAAGAGAGAGGTGGATATGAATGAATATGAACGGTGGCCAGGCCAGCAGACACACTGTCCACCTCTCTCCATGACATGGATGTAGCGGACTGGGACAAACACACAGGGACCAGACGCAGAAGGCAGGGGAGAAAGAAAAGCAGATGAAGGCCGGATACGGTGGCTCACGCCTGTAATCCCAGCACTTTGGAAGGCTGAGGTGGGCAGATCACAAGGTCAGGAGTTCGAGATCAGCCTGACCAACATGGAGAAACCCCGGCTCTATTAAAAATTCAAGATTAGCCAGGCGTGGTGGAGCATGCCTGTAGTCCCAGCTACTTGGGAGGCTGAGGCAAGAGAATCGCTTGAACCCGGGAGGTGGAGGTTGCAGTGAGCCAAGATCGTGCCACTGAACTGCAGCCTGGGCAACAGGAGCGAAACTCCATCTCAAAAAGAAAGAAAGAAAGAAAAACAAACAAACAAACAAACATGAAACAGAGAAATGAGCTGATCAACAAGAGACAGCTAGAGATGAGGCAGAAGCTGAAAAAGACTCAAAGAGGAAACAGGTTGCTTCCCCCTCTCCCCTCCTCTCCCTCTCCTCCCTCCACCAAATTCTCACCAGGGCTGGGCCTGAATGAGGGCCCAGGTCCCGAGGATGGTGACCAGAGAATGCAAAGTGTGGGGGCCACAGGTGAACAGGGTGAGCCCCAGGCCCACAGCGGCTGCTCCCCATCTCTTCAGCCCAGGACCTGCAGGGGGAAGGGACAGCATAAGCCTGGAACCTTCCAGAGGGTCCCCCCCCTTTATTTTCCACTGGGGAGGGAGCCTGACTCACCGGCTTTCTTAAAGAGGAAGCCGATGGGGATGGAGATAAGAAGAACCACTAGATACGTCCATTCTTCAGGCGACATGGTCTGGGGGAGGGGCAGAGATTCACAGTGAGAACCCAGGAATCCAGGCCCCCTGCCTCCTCCCTCTTCGAGGATCCAGGAACCCAGCCTTCTAGACCCCAGTTTTTGAGGATGATGGAGTATGAGCCTCAGCTCCTCTCCTTTGAGAACCTAGCAACCCGGACTCCAGCCCCTTCCTCCTTGGAGGAGACAGGAATCCACCCCCAGCCCCTCCTTTGAGCGCACAGGCCTCCAGCTCTCCTGTCCTTGGAGAACCCAGGAAAGTGTGGGGATCTCCCAGCACCCAAGCCCCTCCTTTGCGAACGCAGAAATCAAAGCTACTCCCCGCACCCATACTGGGGACCCAGATTTGAAGACGCCCCTCTTTTAAAAACCCAGAAACGGCACCCCTCCCGGACCCTTCCTCTTCGACAGCCCAGGAATCTAGACCTCCGAGCCCCCTCTTCCAGCGAGGATCCAGGAACCCAGACCCCCTCTTTGGATCCCCCATCCCCCGGCCCTTGTGAAACCAGATATCCGGACCCCCCAGCCCTTCTTCGAGACCACCCAGAGGAGCCCGGGTCTCCAACCTGCACCTCCTTCGGAGCTCCACACCCCTCTCCTACTGAGAACCCGGGGATCGAACACCCTCCCCTCCCCAGGCCCAGGCCCAGGCCCAGCCCCAACCCGTCCCGCGCACCCCAGCGCATCCCCGGCAGAGCCACAGGCGGTTGCGCCAGCCCCGAGTTCCAACGCGCCTCCGGGGCCGCCCCGCACCCGCCAGCCCGCAGAGACCCTGCCGCCGTGTAACCTCGCCTCGCCACTGGGCGCCGCCACCCTGGCCCACCTGAGCTGCTCGCCGGGCAGGAGGCGGCCGAGCAGTCCCAGCCCGCTTGCCGCCGCAGCTCCGGCCACGCCTCCCCCGCCCAGCGCGCCCCCGCGCCGCCTGCTCCTTCTGGGCGCCCGCCGGGCTGCGCAGATCAGGCCGGGGAAGAAGCCACGGTCAGGGCCCCGGGCGGGCAGGGAAGAAGCCCCGGAGCAGAAGCCGAGAGCGCGAGTCGGCAACGGGATTCGAGTCCAGGTCCACACTGGGATCCGAGCTCCGAGTACGTGAAGGGGCGGGCCTTCGGGCTCGGAACAAGGAGGAGCCAAAAGCTTTGGACCCGAAGGGGAACAGACGGGCTCCGGAAAGGAGGCGGGGTCTGGAGCTCGCCGTGAGGAATGAGGCGGGGTCTCCCTTCGGGTTCCTTCGGGCACAATCGGGAGCTTGAGTTCTCCGGAAGCGGGGCCACAAACTTCGGCTCACTTCGGCAATAGTCGAGAACGGAGAGCTGAGGCCAGTGTGGGCGGAGCCACATGTTTCGGCTTTCTTCGGAGGTAGTCGAGTCCTTAGGGTCACTGTTCCGATGTGGGCGGGGCCACAGACTCGGCCGGATGTGGGTGGGGCCACAAGCTTCGGTTTACTTCGTAGATAGTTGGGTACAAGTGACGCTAGGATGATAGGCGGAGTCAACAGGTTCGCCAGATACCCATGAGTATTTACAAGGGGGCGGGGCGAAAGCGACTTGCCCTCAAAGGGGCGGAACCCCGAGGGCCGGCGTGCGCCTACGGGACCGGGCCAGGGTGACGATCCTCAAGTTCCCAAGTAGAGGAGAGGAAGCGGCAGAGGGAGGTGCGCTCAGTGGGGCGGAGCCAAGGTGGCCCCCGCGGGAGGAGGGCGGGGCTTCGGTCCTGCGAGGGGCGGGACCTGACTTCCCGCGGCGCTGATGGGGCGGGATGACGAAGTTGACGAGGGTGTCGGCATGAGGGGGTGGAGCAAGGAGCGCGTGGCGCGGTGCGCAGTGGGTGGCTCCACCTCGACTGCGAATTACTGTTTATGAGGTGACTCGCTGGTTCTATCGGTGGACAGTGGGACATTCTGAAGGGAGGCAAGGAGGCGGACTGAGCGCTCCCAATTGGGGTGAGCCCGCCCGAGCGGAGAGTGGACGGCGGGTGTCCAGGGGGCGGGGCTTTCGGCTGTGGGGTTCGGTCGTAGGGCGGGAACTCCCCAACTGGGGTGCGCTGGCGCTCGGAGGGGGCGGGGCCACAGGCCGCGAGGCTGCCGGGAGCCGATGACGCCCGAACGCCGAACCTATTGCGTCCGGGAGGAGGCGGGGCTACGGATTCGGCCGAGCCGAGAACACCCGAACGTCAAATTGCTGGCGTTCGGGAAGGGGGCGGGGCTGCGGATTCGGTGGAGCCGAGGACGCCCGAACGCCGAACTTCCTGTGCTCGGGAGGGGGCAGGGTTTTGTACTGTGGGAGTCTGAGAGCGAGGAGGTCCGAAAGCCGAATCACAGTCGTTCGGAAAGAGGAGGAGCGAAGGCTCGAGCGTCCGGAAGAGGGTGTGGCCTCGGCGGTGCCTTAGCCTCCAGAGCTTCTGACCGCTGACGGGAACACCCGAAGGGGGACGCCCACTTTGCAAGAGGGTGGTGCCAAAATGGACCTTTGTAAGGGGGCGTGTCGCCGCGCTTGCGGAGGTTTGTTTTTCACGCTCCAAGGCGCAATGGTAGGTACGGCAGTGCGGGCACAGAGCGGGTGCCGACCGCAGGGTCACAAGGGTAGAGCGGGACCCTGGGGGCTTGGCGAGGGGCGAGGGTCGGGGGCTTGTCTCCGGCGTCTCGTCTCCGGCGGCCGCGAGGCCTGGTGGGATCGCCCGGGGGCGGGGCCTGGCGCTCGGGCCCAGCAGGTGGTGAACGGCGGCTGAGCGAGGCCCCGC
Source organism: Homo sapiens (assembly GCF_000001405.40). Lineage (NCBI taxonomy): Eukaryota > Metazoa > Chordata > Mammalia > Primates > Hominidae > Homo > Homo sapiens. The sequence goes on from NW_003571061.2 coordinate 166,213, forward strand.
CCCCTGAGGCCTAGGGGCGGGGCTTCGCCGAGACCCCGGAGGCTTTGGGTGCGCTGCAGCGGTCTGCGGCGCGCAGCTGTTTCGGTAACTGCTTTGCCTCCCGGCTCCCGCAGGAGGATGCTGGTGGTGGAGGTGGCGAACGGCCGCTCCCTGGTGTGGGGAGCCGAGGCGGTGCAGGCCCTCCGGGAGCGCCTGGGTGTGGGGGGCCGCACGGTAGGCGCCCTGCCCCGCGGGCCCCGCCAGAACTCGCGCCTGGGCCTCCCGCTGCTGCTGATGCCCGAAGAGGCGCGGCTCTTGGCCGAGATCGGCGCCGTGACTCTGGTCAGCGCCCCGCGTCCAGACTCTCGGCACCACAGCCTGGTAAGGGGGCGGGGCTCGAACTCGGGTTCGGTGGGAGCGGGACCTGGGAGTCAAGTTTCCTGGCTTCTGAAGGGACCATAAGCTTGGAGGTTCCAGCGAAGTGTGCTTCTCAGGCCCTGACATCCTTCAAGCGCCAGCAAGAGGAGAGCTTCCAGGAGCAGAGCGCCTTGGCAGCTGAGGCCCGGGAGACCCGTCGTCAGGAGCTCCTGGAGAAGATTACGGAGGGCCAGGCTGCTAAGAAGCAGAAACTAGAACAGGCTTCAGGGGCCAGCTCAAGCCAGGAGGCCGGCTCGAGCCAGGCTGCCAAAGAGGATGAGACCAGTGATGGCCAGGCTTCGGGAGAGCAGGAGGAAGCTGGTGAGCATGGGAGGTGGAGTCCAGGGACCACGGGAAGGAGAGGAGAGATCTTTTAGGAATTTTAGCTGGGAATCCAGTGCCTGGGTCTCCCTGAGGGTGAGAAGACTTTACCCCTTGAATTTACCAAACTCTTCTCTGTACTCCCCACCAGGCCCCTCGTCTTCCCAAGCAGGACCCTCAAATGGGGTAGCCCCCTTGCCCAGATCTGCTCTCCTTGTCCAGCTGGCCACTGCCAGGCCTCGACCGGTCAAGGCCAGGCCCCTGGACTGGCGTGTCCAGTCTAAAGACTGGCCCCACGCCGGCCGCCCTGCCCACGAGCTGCGCTACAGTATCTACAGAGACCTGTGGGAGCGAGGCTTCTTCCTCAGTGCGGCTGGCAAGTTCGGAGGTGACTTCCTGGTCTATCCTGGTGAGTATGGGTTGGGGCCTCTGGTTGCTGTGCCTTTCCATACGATCCCAATGTATTCTGCGTTTTTCTTTTTTTTTTTTTTGTCTTAATAGAGGTGGGGTCTCTTGTTGCTTAGGCTGGTCCCTATTCCTGGGCTCAAGCAATCCTTCCACCTCGGCCCCCCAAAGTGCTGGAATTATAGGCCCAGCTGCATTTTTCTTTTTTGTCTCACTTTCTCTTAGCCTCTGAAATTCATAGACAGACAGGAAACATTTGGGAGCTCCTGAACTCATTGGGCAAGCAGTTTAACGACTTTTATTAAATGATTACTGTGATCCAGAAGATTCACTTAGAAGTAGTTAGACATCAGGCTGGGCGCAATGGCTCACGCCTGTAATCCCAACACTTTGGGAGGCCAAGACAGGTGGATCACCTGAGGTCAGGAGTTTGATACCAGTCTGGCCAACATGGTGAAACCCCATCTCTACTAAAAATACTAAAACTAACTGGGCGTGGTGGTGGGTGCCTGTATTTCCAGCTACTCGGGAGGCTGAAGCAGGAGAATCATGTGAACCCAGGGGGCAGAGGTTGTAGTGAGCCAAGATCGTGCCATTGCACTCCAGCCTGGGGGACAAGAGCGAGACTTTGTCTCAAAAAAAAAAAAAAAAAAAAGCCTAGAAGTGGAATAGTTGTGTCCAAGAGCATCTGTTTTAGAGTATCTATAGTGATGGCTGAAATGATCTCAGATCTCCTCCCAGTGGTCGTTCCCGTGGCGTCCAGCCGTCTGCCATTGGTCACTGCTTCAGTGCCTCTCTCCTTCCCCCAGGTGACCCCCTCCGCTTCCACGCCCATTATATCGCTCAGTGCTGGGCCCCCGAGGACACCATCCCACTCCAAGACCTGGTTGCTGCTGGGCGCCTTGGAACCAGCGTCAGAAAGACCCTGCTCCTCTGTTCTCCGCAGCCTGATGGTAAGGTGGTCTACACCTCCCTGCAATGGGCCAGCCTGCAGTGAACTCCAGAGACCTAGGGGATGTGGCTGTGTCGGCAGCAAGAGCCTTTCTGGATGTTCCCCAGCTCTTCTCTGGGAGTCTAGAACATCCTCCTACCTTTCTCCGCGGTTAGTTTTTGATTCCAGGTTTTCGAACACTACATCTTTTTTATGTTCTTCCTTGTTTCAAAGCACTTATTGGCTGTGTTTTTGTAGTTACCTATTTTCACACTGTGAGCTTCCCGAGAATGGGGCCTGGGTTTGATTCATCTGTTTTCTACAGGGTTTAAGTCTCAGGAGGTCTCAATAAACTTGGTATATAAATGTTCATGATTTGAATGTTTGCGACAGTCCTGGAACCCGTGGATGGTCTCATCTGCATGTACAGGTGAGAAAAAGGCCTGGAGGGGGGGGACTGACTTGCCCAAAGTCACACACTTAGTAAATAGCAGGCCTGGCCTTTCAAAATTGGTTTTTCTGACTCCTAAATCTGCACTCTTTCTACCTCACTAAACTTCCTCTTGAAAAGATTTCTATGAAATTTCCCAGATGCATACAAACGTTATAAATAAAAATATAGGCTGGGCACGATGACCCACACCTGTAATCCCACAGAACTTTTGGAGGCCAAGGCAGGGGGATCGCTTGAGCCCAGGAGTTTGAGACCAGCTCTGGCAACATTGTAATACCCAGTCTCTACAAAAAATAATTTAAAAAAAAATTAGCCAGGGATCCCTTGAGCCTGGGAAGTTGAGGCTGCTGTGAGCTGTGATTGCACCACTGCCCTCCAGCCTGGGAGACAGAGCAAGAACCTGTCTCAAAAAATATATATATGTGTGTGTGTATATATGTAAATATACACACATGTATGTATATATATGTGTGTGTATATATATATATATTATGAAAGGAAATGAGTATTGTAATTTTAGGAGTTCAGAGCCTGGGGAGAAAGGAAGGACTCTGGAAGGCGTTCTGCTTTTTCATGGCCTGGGTAGTGGTGGAGAATTTTTTTGATACTGTATATTTATATTTTAGACTCTTTTTTGGATGTGTTATATTCTGCAATTTTTATAAAAGCTAAAACACATGTATTTGTAAAAAATTTGCACTTATGAAATCATTTACCCATGTTTTTGCTTAAGAAAGTACTAGAACACTACCACTATTCCAATAATTACACCTTTATCTTATCAATGTGCAGTTTTATTTTGTCACGTTTATTTTGTCAGTGTAATACATTCACATGGTGAGTCTGGGCGTGGTGGCTTATGCTTGTAATCCCAGCACTTTGGGAGACCAAGGCGGGCGGATCATGAGGTCAGGAGTTCCAGAGCATCCTGGCCAACATGGCCCGCCTCTATGAAAAATACAAAAATTAGCCGGGCGTGGTGGCGGGCGCCTGTAATCCTAGCTACTCCGGAGGCTGAGGCAGGAGAATCACTTGAATCTGGGAGGTGGAGGTTGCAGTGAGCCAAGGTCACGCCACTGCACTCCAGTCTGGGCGACAGAGCTAGACACTGTCTCAAAAAAACAAAAACAAACAAAAACTTCCACATGGTAAAATTCTGGGGCTGAAAGTCTCCACCTCTAGTTCTTCCATTTCTTCCCCCCATGTTTCATTCTTTCTCTTTTTTGTGTGAATTGAGCAGCCTCTGGAACCAGAATAGGTTTAGAGAGACTCCCATCTCCCCTCTTTCTTGCCATTCCCAGTAAACAGACTTCATAGAATCTCAATTTCCTGTAAGTTTAGATTAATTTAAAATATGACACTGGGCCAGGCGTGGTGGCTCACACCTGTAATCCCAGCACTTTGGGAGGCTGAGGTGGGCAGATGAGTTTGAGATCAGCCTGGCCAATATGGTGAAACCCCATCTCTACTAAAAATACAAAAAAAAAAATTAGCCGGGCGTGGTGGCATGCGCCTGTACTCCTAGCTACTCAGGAGCCTAAGGCAGGAGAATCACTTGAATCCAGGAGGCAGAGGTTGCAGTGAGCCAAGATCGCACTACTACACTCCAGCCTGGGCAACAAGAGCTAAACTCCATCTCAAAAAAATAAAAAGAAAAGAAAAAAAATGACGCTAACCCCTGTCTGGCCAATACTCTCTTTGTGCCTGCTTCATAATTGGCTTTGTAAGTCTATTCTCCACCCTTTCTCCTCTCTACAACAAAGTACTTAGAAGTCTCATTCCCTCTGTCATGAGTCTCTCCTCTGAAAAGTTCCTCATTTAAAACTCCTGTGGCCAGATGTGGTGGCTCAGACCTGTAATCCTAGCACTTTGGGAGGCCAAGGTGGGAAGATCAGTTGAGCCGCTGAGCTCAGGAGTTTGAGACCAGCCTTGGCTGAACATAGTGAGACCTCATCTCATCTCTATTTAAAACAAACAAACAAAAAAAAACTTTTGTGACTGGTGTCCCCCCATGTTGTCAGTCAACAAATTCTATAGGTGCCATGTTCAAAGCACTGTGGATCCACAGTTAGGCCCCACCCTCCACCTTCACTGCCAGTATCTTAGAAAAACCAAACCATGGCTCATTTGATATTGATAGCTTCCTAACTCATCCCCTGCCTTCCATTCTTGCCCCTCTGTTGTCTGTTTTCAACAGAGCAGCCAGAATCATCGTTTTTTTTTTTGTTTTTTTTTTTTTTTTTTTTTTTGAGGCGGAGTCTCGCTGTCGCCCAGGCTGGAGTGCAGTGGCGCGATCTCTGCTCACTGCAAGCTCCGCCTCCCGGATTCACGCCATTCTCCTGCCTCAGCCTCCCTAGTAGCCGGGACTACAGGCGCCCGCCACCTCACCTGGCTAATTTTTTGTATTTTTAGTAGAGACGGGGTTTCACCATGTTAGCCAGGATGGTCTCGATCTCCTGACCTTGTGATCCACCCGCCTCGGCCTCCCAAAGTGCTGGGGTTACAGGCGTGAGCCACCGCGCCCGGCCAGAATCATCATATTAAAAGATAAGTCAGACCATGTCACAGCTCTGTCTAAAACTTTCCTGGAGTTTTCCATCTCAGAGTAAAACTCAAAGGTCCTACTTTGCAGCTTCCTCATGAACTGGCCATGTGCATTCTCTTCCTTGCTTATTATTATTATTATTATTTATTTTTTTTATTTTTGAGACAGAGTCTTGCTCTGTTGCCCAGGCTGGAGTGCAGTGGCACAATCTCGGCCCACTGCAGCCTCTGCCTCCTGGGTTCAAGTGGGTTCAAGCGATTCTCCCACCTCAGCCTCCCAAGTACCTGGGATTACAGGCGCCTGCCACCACGTCAGGCTAATTTTTTGTATTTTAGTAGAGACAGGGTTTCACCATAATTGCCCAGGCTCGAACTCCTGAGCTCAGGCAATCCGCCCACCTCAGCCTCCCAAAGTGCTAGGATTATAGACATGAGCCACCGTGCCCGGCCAGCTTTGTTCCTCTTTACTGCTGGATATTCCATTGTATGGACATAACCCCATTTTATTTATCCATTCATCAGGTGATTGGCATTTGTTTCTAGTTAAGGACAAGGTTTTGGTTTTGGTTTTTGTTTTATTTACCCTTGTTCATGCAGTATCCCCAGGTCCAAGAACAGTTCCTGGCACACAGCAGTCAATACATTGTTGCTAAATAAATGAGTGGCTTAAACTATAATTTTTAAATCAGGGCTGAGACAATTTGGAAATTATAATTTCTCCTACATGACTTTCTAAGCATATTTTAAATAAATATACATACGTTAAGGTCATTTTTATTAATGAAAATTGTAGCATACTATGCACACTTCTGCATCTTGCTTATTGGATATGCCCAGGCTTGTCTCATTTTTGCCAACAGCTACATGGTTTTGCGTCCTATGGATGGGGCATAATTAGATTTTATTACACTTGTACAAAAGGAAAGGAATTCAGCTCCCCAAGCATGCCCAGCTGGTCCTTGGCAACCCATGATGGAAACCAAGGGTTCCTCTTATATTACCCGTGCTCCTTTCAGAGAGGAAGGGCTAGAGGGCTCCAGCCTGAGTGAGAGAGAGAGAGGAGGAAGCATGAGGGGTTTGTGGAAGAGGGCCTGGTGCCATATGACTGGACCATGCTTCTGAAGAGGATCAGGGTGAGGCCAGATCTCATCAGTTGACCCTTGAGCAACATGGGTCTGAACTGCTCGGGTCCACTTTTATGCAGATTGAAAAAAGTAAAGGTTACACAGAGCATGCCTGCCTCTCCTGCTTTGCCTTTTACCTCCTCCACCTCTGGCACCCTGAGACAGCAAGACCAAACCCTCCTCTTCTTTCTGCACCTCTGCCTACTCAGAATGAAGACAAGGATGAAGACCTTTATGATGATCCACTTCCACTTAATGAATAGTAAATATATTTTCTCTTTTTTAGAATTTTCTTAATATTTTCTTTTTTTTTTTTTTTTGAGACGAAGTCTCGCTCTGTCACCCAAGCTGGAGTGCAGTGGCGCGATCTTAGCTCACTGCAAGCTCCGCCTCCCGGGTTCACGCCATTCTCCTGCCTCAGCCTCCCCGGTAGCTGGGACTACAGGTGCCTGCCACCACGCCCGGCAAATTTTTTGTATTTTTAGTAGAGATGGGGTTTCACCGTGTTAGCCAGGATGGTCTCGATCTCCTGACCTGGTGATCCGCCCGCCTTAGCCTCCCAAAGTGCTGGGGTAACAGGCATGAGCCATCACGCCCGGCCAATATTTTCTTTTCTCTAGCTTAATTCATCATAGGAATACAGAATATAATACATATAGCGTATAAAATATGTGTTAATTGACTATGTTATTGGTAAGGCTTCCAGTCAACTACGAGTAATGTTTTTTTTAAATCCTGAGACAGTGTCTTGCTCTGCCAGCTGGGCTGGGGTGCAGGGGCATGATCTTAGTTCGCTGCTGCCTCAACCTCCTTGACTCAAGCAGTCCTCCCACCACAGCCTCCCAAGTAGCTGGAACTACGGGCACACACCACCACACCCAGTTAATTTTTCTGTTTTCTGTAGAGTCTGGGTTTTGCCGTGTTGCCCAGGCTGGTCTTGAACTCCTGGGCTCAAGTGCTCTGCCCACCTCAGCTTCCCAAATCCCACCTGGGGTTACAGGTGTGAGCCACGGTGCCTGGCCTAGTAGTTAAGTTTTGGGGAAGTCAAAAGTTATATGCAGATTTTCTTTCTTGATTTTTTTTTTTTTTTTTTTGAGGCAGTCTTGCTCTGTCGCCCAGGATGGAGTGCAGTGGTGCGATCTCGGCTCACTGCAATCTCCACGTCCTGGGTTCAAGCGATGCTCTTGCCTCAACCTCCTAAGTAGCTGGGATTACAGGCACCTGCCACCACGCCTGCCTAATTTTTGTATTTTTAGTAGAGACCAGGTTTTGTCATGTTGGCCAGGCTGGTCTCGAACTCCTGACCTCAGTTGATCCGCCGGCCTTGGCCTTCCACATAGTGCTGGGATTACAGGCGTGAGGCACCGCGCCCAGCCTATATGGAGGTTTTCGGCTGAGCTGGGGGTCAGTGCCCCTCGCCCCCAGACTGTACAGAGTCAGCTGTGTTAAGATATTAAGCACCTTCAGTACACAAGACTCTGTGCTGGTTTTCTTTTCTTTTTTTTTTTTTTTTACTCTAAATCATCAAACCCTATGAGGAAAGTCCTGTTACTTTCTCCCATTTAGCACTCTTGAAGAGGCTAATTTGCCTAAGATCAAGAGCTCGTCAGTGACTGCTGAGGTTCAAACGCAGATCTTTTTTAAGACTTGAGAACCTACAGGTTCAACCACCATTATAAAACCATCTCTGTAATCACGAGGCACCCGGAATTTGTGGAGCTTGGACTTCATCCTGAAGGGAGTGAAAACTTATGGAAGTTTTTTCCTTCCACGTTTCCCCCTTCCAGATGAATAATATACGCGTGTTCAAGATACAAAAATGCATAAAATTTGGCCAGGCATGGTGGCTTACACCTGTAATCCCAGCACTTGGGGAGGCTGAGGCGAGTGGATCACTTGAGCCCAGGAGTTCAAGACCAGCCTGGGCAATATGGCAAAACCCCGTCTCAAAACAACAAAACAAACAAACAAAAAACCCATAAAACTGAACAAGGTAGTTTGTAAGATATGGAAGTACAATGCAGATGACAATAATGACGATGGTAGCTACCACTAGGCGCTTTATTTATGCCACTCTCCTCAACACTGGATAGACTCTCACTTAATCCTCACAAGCTTATGAGGTAGGCGCTACCATCATTCGCCGTTTTACAGAGGAGGACGCTGAGGCACAGAGTGATTGAGAAACTTGTCGAAGGCACTGCAGCTGGCAAGTGGTGACGTGGCATTTGAATCCAGGCATCCGGATGGTGTGGATGCCGTGGAAGAGAAAGGGGCGGGTGGGACTGCTTCCTGAGGAGATAGTGACTGCCGAGGCAGCAGCGTAGGGAAGACAACTGAAGAACACGAGCTGTGGAGACAGACCATCGCATTCGGAGTGGAGAGATGGGTGTACAGACAGACAATAACCAGACTATATATAAAAAGAGAACTCTAGGTCAGGCGCGGTGGCTCACACCTGTAATCTTAGCACTTTGGGAGGCTGAGGCGGGTGGATCACTTGAGGTCAGGCGTTGGAGACCAGGAGTTCAAAACCCCGTCTCTACTAAAAATTTAAAAATTAGCCGGGCATGGTGGTGGGCGCCTGTAGTCCCAGCTTCTCGGGAGGCTGAGGCACGAGAATCGATTGAACCCGGGAAGCGGAGGTTGCAGTGAGCCGAGATCGCACCACTGCACTCCAGCCTGGGTGACGAGAGCGAAAAACTCCGTCTCAAAAATAAAATAAATTACTGATAATAGTACTAATACCCCTTAAGTGGCTATTGATAATAATAGTACCATGGGTGGGGGGGCAACTTCTCTGAGAGTGCTCTGTAAGTATGTATTGAAGATTGAGTAAATACATTTAAAATTCTTAGAACAGTATGTGGCACATAGCGTTCCAGAATGCCACATTATTGTTAGTGACAGAAATAATCTCGGCTGGGCGCGGTGGCTCACGCCTGTAATCCCAGCACTTTGGGGGGGCCACGGCGGGAGGCTCTCTCGAGGCCGGGAGTTCAAGACCAGCCTGGGCAACATGGCAAGACGCCGACTGTTAAAAAAAAAAAAATGCTACCCGGGCGTCGTGGCGTGTGCCTGTAATCCCAGCTACTGGGGAGGAGGTGGGAGGATCGCTCGAGCCCGAGAGGTTGGTCGGGGCCTCAGTGAGCCGAAATCACGCCACTGCACTCCAGCCTGGGCGACGGAGCGAGACCCTGTCTCAGAAAGAAAAAGAAAAACCACCGTCCAGGGGCGGAGAAGGAAGGTTCTCCCTACTTCTCAGGTTTCCACTCCCTGGCCGGAAAAAACCTAGTCCTCCCAGGTTAGCACGCCGCTCTAGCCCAGCCTCACGTCTCCACTGCTTCTCAGCCAGCCAACGCCTCTTCTGATTGGCTCTGACGTGCGTGGTGCGTGAAAACGTCACGAGACGCCGGCGTTACTATAAGAGCGCAGCCGTGGCGCTTGCGCGCCTCTTTCTCAGTGACCGGGTGGTTTGCTTAGGTGAGGTGCGGCGGTGTGCTTTTTCTCTAGGGTTTGGGTTGGATGGTGGCCCGGGCCTTCCGAGTTTCCATGAGTAAGCTAAAGACGTTAGGAAACAGAGCAGGGTGGTTGAACGGGAGTGCAGCACGGTTGTGGGGGCAGATACTGACTATGAGAGCGTTGGAGGTTATTCTCGCGAGATCGGATCTGGGCTCCGCGAGGTTTTGGCGTAGTTGTGGGACTGCGCAGGCGCCGTTTGGAGCCCTTACGCTCACACTTCTCTCCCGCGCAGGCGCAGACGGGGAAGCGGAGCCAACATGCCAGTGGCCCGGAGCTGGGTTTGTCGCAAAACTTATGTGACCCCGCGGAGACCCTTCGAGAAATCTCGTCTCGACCAAGAGCTGAAGCTGATCGGTGAGTGGCCAAGGCTTCCGGGAAGTGGTTCGGCTTCCGGGAGGCGGTTAGCACGTGGATGAAGGTGCCCATGTACTCTATCTAGTCCGTCCCCTAAATTTGGTACTATTCGTGGTTTAGGAAGGTTTTGTGATTCCAAAGCTGCCAGTCTAGTTGTTGTGCCAGTACGTGGGACTACACTTGTCCACCCCCTTCTCCCCACCAGGCGAGTATGGGCTCCGGAACAAACGTGAGGTCTGGAGGGTCAAATTTACCCTGGCCAAGATCCGCAAGGCCGCCCGGGAACTGCTGACGCTTGATGAGAAGGACCCACGGCGTCTGTTCGAAGGTGCGTATGGGAGTCCACAGCAGAGGGATGGGGTGCAGGGCTTGTGAGGTTCATTCTCCCTTCTGTTGCCTCTGTTCCAGTGATGAGAGTTGTGTCATTGGATAAATGGAACCAGCCTTCTAACTTTTAGTGGCACTTGTGAAGTAGGAAAAGTGTATCTGGATCAGTCTTTGCCCTGTTTCTTAGGTGTGTGGCTTTTTTGCCCAGTTATTGGACCTTCAGTTTAGTAATGACCAGAGCTAAAGATAGGCCTGGCACACCTGGGCACCCGTCTATATCTTTATATTCTGTTTATGTGGCCTGTTTGCTAGTGGATGAGAGTAGACTATGAAGTGGAATTTCTGGGCTAAGTGATGGTGATAACAGGGTTTGCACATTTGCTTGGTTTATTGTTTTTTTAATTAAGTTTTCTCGTTTTATTTAGTCTTTTGAGACGGAGTCTTGCTCTGTTGCCCAGGCTGGAGTGCCGTGGCGCCATTTCGGCTTACTGCAACCCCCGCCTCCTGGGTTCAAACAATTCTCCTATCTTAGCCTCCCAAGTAGCTGGGACTACAGACAGGCGCACGCCACCACACCTGGCTAATTTTACTTTTGAGACGGAGTCTCGCTCCATTGCCCATGCTGGAGTGTAGTTGTCGCAATCTTGGCTCACTGCAAACTCCGCCTCCAGAGTTCAAGCGATTCTCCTGTCTTAGCCTCCTAAGTAGCTGGAATCACAGGCATGGGCCACCAAGCCTGGCTAATTTTCTATTATTAGTGGAGATGGGTTTTCACCATGTTGTCCAGGCTGGTGCTTGTTTTTTTAAGCTGGTCAAGGACATTTAGGTGGTATTTAGCAAAGGCCTGAACAGGAGAGAACCTGTAAAATGTCTCAGGGAACAGCATTTCAGGTGATGACTTTAGGAGGGCATGCAGATCACATAGACTTAGGCTTACTTTACTAATTGTGGTGAAATACACATTAAATTGAAAATGTACCATCTTAACCATCTTGTTTTAAAATCTACTCTGAGATGCGGTGTTATTGGAGTGCTTTCTACAGCAGATTGGCATGACCAAGATTGGCATTTGTATATCCTGAGACGCTGCTTTTGCCTGAGTTTGGGTAGTCATGATTTATGGTGAAAAGCAGTCTCTACACCTGAGCCCTGACTGTTAGGCATGAGAGTGGTCATCCATGTTAGGCGTTGAGAAAGTCCTGGCGCATGTTTAGCTACAGATTATCACAGTTTGTCCCAGGCTTGCAGATGTTAGAAGCTTTTTCTTTAAATAGGCACAGGATCTTGCAGTGTTGACCAGGATGGTTTCCAACTCCTAACCTCAAGTGATCCATCCACCTCAGCTTTCCAAAGTGCTGGGGTTACAGGTGTAAGCCACCGCACCTGACCCTTTCATTCTTTTCGTCAATTTGTAGACCCCGTTGATAATCTCATGAAAGTGCTGGAGATCCCTCCCCCATAGATACTGATGCTGGGTGGGAATTCATCCCAGGGTTCTGTGGGGAGTGGGCTATAGCTGGTTCTGGTTTTAGGGAGGACTTTCTGGACATAGATCCTAATTGCAATGAAACTTACAGTCATGTGAGAAAGCGGTGCAGGTGTCTGAGGGTTATTTGTGGTTTTCCAAGGCAGAAGTGAAAATTCCCAAGGGGTACACAGTTGTTCAGGTGAGTACACTTTCTAGTAAATGAAGCCATCTAGCCTAGTCAGGGACAGGAAGGAGGAGCTTGGATGTTTGCTCTTTGGTGTAATCCTGCCTTGATTCAGATCCAGCCTTTCCCACTAAGATGTGTGACTAGCGAGATTCTGAGTCTCGTCTGTTAAGACTGAACAGCCGCCAACATTTGGCTGGCAGTTAATAATCAACAGATAGAGGCCAGGCGTGGTGGCTCATGCCTGTAATCCCAGCACTTTGGGAGACCGAGGTGGTCGGATCACTTGAGGTCAGGAGACCTCAAGTCAGAGACCAGCCTGGCCAACGTGGTGAAATTCCATCTCTACGAAAAATACAAAAATTAGCCGAGCATGGTGGTGTGCCTATAATCCCAGCTACTCGGGAGGCTGAGGCAGGAGAATTGATTGAACCTGGGAGACAGAGACTGCAGTGAGCCGAGATCCGCGGCACTGCACTGGGTGACAGCGAGACACAAAACAACACGAACTCCCCCCCCACCCCCCAGCACAACTGTGAAGAAATGTAGGAGTCATGTCCATTTTTCAGATCAGAAATGAAGGCATTGTAATACCTAACTGCCTTGTATGATGACAAGGACCTGTTTCCCACTGAGGTCCTCCCTGGTTTGCATTTTTAAAGCATTTTAAATTCTCTTGGTGCATTGGCCCAGTGGAGCCTCAGCAGTAGGACATGCTTTTGTTGAAGGTGTAAGGTTTATTGTGCTGTTGAAAACTATTGTCTTCATACTTAAAGGTTTTGCCTGTGGCTGACTCTCCTGTTCTTTTTCAGGAGATAGATGGTTCAATAAATGTGGGCCTGAGTGCAGTGGCTCATGCCTGTAATCCCAGCACTTTGGGAGGCAGAGGCAGGCGGATCACCCGAGGTCGGGAGTTTGAGACTAGCCTGACCAAAGTGGAGAAACCCCTTAGTCTCTACTGAAAAAATACAAAATTAGCGGGGCGTGGTGGCGCATGCCTGTAATCCCAGGCTGAGGCAGGAGAATCCCAGGAGGCGGAGTTTGCAGTGAGCCGAGATCACGCCATTGCACTCCAGCCTGGGCAACGAGAGCGAAACTCTGTCTCAAAAATGATAATAAATGTGAAACATTTTTTTAAAATCATGCCTTTGTTTTGCCTAATGGTGACGATCTCACTTTGTCTCCCGGGCTGGAGCACAGTGGCATGGTCGTGGCTCACTGCAGCCTGGACCTCCTGTGCTTAAGTGATCCTCCTCAGCTCTAGTAGCTGGGACCACAATCCACCATGTACCACCATGCCCAGCTAATTTAGTTTTACTTTTTTGTTTGTTTTGGTACAAATGCGGTCTCACTGTGTTGCCGAGGCTAGTTTCAAACTTCTGGACTCAACTGATCCTCCTGCCTCAGCCTCCCAAAATATTGGGTTTATAGGCCAGGCATAAGGGACTGTGCGTGGCTTAAGTTTCCATTTTCTAATGTAAAGACAAAAAGGCGTGAAGTGTCCAAAGAGGTAAATGATCCCAAACTCATTTTCATTGCCTTTTGGACATGTTTTTGTATTTTGATATTCAGGTGTTTAAATATCCTCTGATGTTGAGTTAAAAAAGAACAAAAATTGAAGCCATAGTATGACATAGGATGCTGGAAATGCACACAGCTGGTGTTTCCATTTTGATTCTCCCTACCTGTAACTGCTCCCTACTGGGAAAACTTTGGGTCCTCACAAAGTGAGCTAGCTTTCTTTCAAACTTTGCTTGGAGGGTAACAGTGCCAGGAATATCAGAAGTGCCTGATGCATGTAGATCTATTTATGAAAGCTTGCTTGAATGGTTTGCTGTAACTAGTAAGAGCCACTTTTTATAAAAGTGCACATAAGGAAAAAAGGTTGAGGTGTTTACCCCAGTCAAGGGGCAGTTGATTTGCTGAAGGCGTGTGGGATTATAGCAGTGAGCGGGAGCCTAGGGGATGGCGTTTGCCCCCAGGGCCCTGGGGCTGTGGGCAAGGGCAGTCCAGAGTATTAGCTAGAAGCCATGGCTTTGGACAGGGTAAGGAGCAAGCCGTCCTGAGCCTGGGGTTGGAAGAAAGGTGTAGTAGGGCATCTGTTGGATATTTTATGCAGTGCATTGTTAGGTTATATACATACTAGATCTATTTTTGGTGGAAAATTTTGTACAGAATAGTAAAATGAATGACATGTACTTAGCTGGAAAAATTCTAGTGTTAGAAATTACTTTTCTCTCCTTAAAAGATGTAGATACTGCTATTTATGGCACGGAATGTGATTCAATCTCACATCTGCTTAATCAGAAGAGCTTTCTGGGCTGAGGATATGAACTCTTCAGCACTGTGCTTTGTTACGGTGGTAGTAGCTTAATAGCAGCTGCATTTGGTCTTTTGCAGACTGAGTCCTTGTAAGGAGGTGATTTCCTTTACTCTTGCTAAGAATGTGGAGCGAGGGATGTATGCTCTCAGATGAGGAGGCAGGTGTATTTTGCCCTCCTGTCATCTGCAGTTTACTATGAATGATGACCTGACAACCATAGGGTAGTTTGGTTTTTTGTATTGTTTTGTTTTGTGACAGGGCCTCACTCTGTCGCCCAGGCTGGAGTGCAGTGGCCCCATCTCAGGTCACTGCAACCTCCGCCTCCTGGGTTCAAGCAGTTTTCCTTCCTCAGCCTCCTGAATAGCTGGGATTACAGGCAGTGCGCCAACGGCCTGGCTAATTTTTCGTAATCTTAGTGGAGACGGGCTTTCGCCATGTTGGCCGGGCTGGTCTCTCAAACTCCTGACCTCAAGTGATCCGTCTCGGACTCCCGAAGTGCTGGGATTACAGGTGTGAGCCACCACTCCCAGCCCGTAGGGTGGTTTTGACAGTGACATGGGTCACGGTGATGGCGCTGTACTACTTGTGCCTCACCGCCGCGGCATGGAGCTACCAAGAGGCGGAGCCAGGATTTGAACCCAAGAAGCCTGAGGTCAGAAGGCGGAATCAGTGTTTCCTCCCACTCTTCCCAGGCAACGCCCTGCTGCGGCGGCTGGTCCGCATTGGGGTGCTGGATGAGGGCAAGATGAAGCTGGATTACATCCTGGGCCTGAAGATAGAGGATTTCTTAGAGAGACGCCTGCAGACCCAGGTCTTCAAGCTGGGCTTGGCCAAGTCCATCCACCACGCTCGCGTGCTGATCCGCCAGCGCCATATCAGGTACCACCTCGGATGGGCACCTGAATCTTCCTCCACCTGCCCCTCTGATGGTTGCCCTCACTAAGCCTGCTGTCCCTATCTCCTATGCAGCCCTCGGAGGTGATGGGTGTGAACTCACCCAGAGGGTACAGATTCACCCTTGCACACAGCTCACCAGGGAGCTGGGGCAGCCTCTTGCCCCAATAGCCCAGCGCAAGGGTCACTGCGGCTCTAGCCGTACACCTTGTGAAGGCCTCTGCCAGGCATGTGGGCAGCTGGACAGGTAACAGCTCTTGGTGTCCCCAGTGGAGGGAGAGAACCAGCCTCACCTCGCTTGGGTGGTGGGTTCAGCTGTCTCCTGGCTCGCTTGTGAAGTTGATTCCAGACCCCGATCCATGACTGCGTTCTGGGTACTCAGTGTGCCCTTTCTGTAATGTGGCACCATTGAGGGGGAGGAGCTGTACAGAAAGAGGGCAAGATGTTTGCGTTTAGAATCTTCGCCCCAGCCCTTCACTAACCCTGTGAGCCGTAGGCAGAGCCTTGTGTGTCAATGCTTTCGTCGGAGACGTAGCCTCGGGTTGCTGTGTTATTGTGGGCATTGCTGCTGCACGTGGTAATACAGCTCAGTGTCAGGTGTGGGGTTCACGATATTTCAGACTCGGAACTTGGGGGCTCTCACATGGCCATCTCATTTGCTTTGTGGTCTTAGGTGGGATACTTTCAGATTTCTCCTATAAAATGGGGTTGAGAAAGTCATCTGAAGCATTTTTGGGGATTAAGGTGATACCCTAAAACCCCGGAGGGCGCACGTAGGATCAGGTGCACCCTTCCTGCAGCGCCTTGGTGTCTGCAGCCGTGGCGGCCTCACGGGGTGGGTGGAGAGGAAAGAGTGGTGCGGTAGCTGGGGTTAGCGTCCGTTTCTCCTCCAGTCCACCTCACCTTGTCGCTTCTTCCAGGGTCCGCAAGCAGGTGGTGAACATCCCGTCCTTCATTGTCCGCCTGGATTCCCAGAAGCACATCGACTTCTCTCTGCGCTCTCCCTACGGGGGTGGCCGCCCGGGCCGCGTGAAGAGGAAGAATGCCAAGAAGGGCCAGGGTGGGGCTGGGGCTGGAGACGACGAGGAGGAGGATTAAGTCCACCTGTCCCTCCTGGGCTGCTGGATTGTCTCGTTTTCCTGCCAAATAAACAGGATCAGCGCTTTACAATTGGTGTGTGGGGGTCTCTCATCCTTGACTCTTTCCCCTGCTCTAAACATGCAGCCTTCCCTGGGAGGCTCACTCACTTGGGAGTGCCTACCAGCTAGTGGTCCCTGGCCTCTCAGTACTATTCTACAGTAGTGAACACACATCTTTACCAGAAACTTCTGTCATCAGGGGAGAGACGAGTGGTATTTTTGGAAAAACTGTGTCAAAACCAGAAGGAAATTCCAAGTAAGCCGGTGTTTGCATATAGGGGTGGGAGGGAGCCGGTCATTGCTAGGCAGGGCAGGCGCCGAGTGGAGGTGGGGGCCTTCCCTGCCTGCTGGCCCTGGGACCCTGACCCCGCCAGGCAAGAGACAGGTGGGACGGGAGCTGACCAGAGGCTGACGGGTTGCTGGGGAAGGTGAACTGTTGGTGATTGTTGGGGAACACTTCACAGAATTTGCTTGCTAGTTTCAAAGCTTGTGATGCGGTTGATGTTGGGCAAGTTCCCAGTTTTGTCTTCACATGTAGGGGAAGTGGGTTAGCGTAGGAGAAGGGGCGTTGAGGGAAGTCTGTTCCTCCTCTCCGCGTTCAGTGCTTCTGTGGACTCACGGTCAAGAGGTTGGCAGGCTTCCCTTTTCTCAGCCTTGTTGATCATCTGTGTTGGGAAGGGGTTTGGTTTCTGAGGAAGTGAGAAACCTGAAATTGTGCAACCCCCTCAGGCTGCAGGCTGTAGTTGATTGGGTCCTTATCTGGAGGCCTTCAGGGTTTGAGGTCAGGGCAGGGACAGTTCTGGAACACAGCTAAGTTACTGTAAACCACGTGGAGAAGTCCATTGCGGCTTACTCAAGCTAGGTGGTTGGCCCTTCCTTCCCTCAGCGTTGCTACTTGGGAAATGACGGTGGTCTTGTGTCCATGGGGCCAGCTGCTGCACCATCTGGGCTCACTGTGGTCTCCTTCCTTGGAGCGTGGGGTCTGGGCTAGTGGATGGCCGGGGCAGCGTACTCACTGGGCTCCTGGGAGCTCCCCTGGGAGGAAGAGACTGCAGTTGTCTCTGGTCTGAGAGGTGGTGGCTCACCTGGGTGTAGCTCACAATTGCGGAGCTCCACGGCAGCCTGGAGGGAGGGGAGAGTGGGAGTTGAGGTATGCGGTTCTGGGGAGAAGCCTACGGGCTTGGAAAGGAAAAGGGTCTTCAGGGCTCTGTCTACAGAGGCAGCGAGCGGGGCAACAGAGGGAGACTCCATCTCAAGAATTTGTAGAGATGGAGTCTCAATGTGTTGCCCCGGCTGATCTAAAACCCTTGGCCTCAAGCAATCCACTCGCCTCCCAAAGCGCTAGGATGACAGGTGTGAGCCACAGTGCCTGGCCTGCGTGGGTCTGTTTAATCTCCGGGCCTCTTGCTCTCCCTTTCTTGGTGATCTCCTTGGACCACATCCCTGTATCATTCTCTCTCTCGACCCTGAGCCCAGGGTCCAGAGCAGAGAACGGGATGGGGTCTGGGTAGGGGCCCCTCACTTGCAACCAGGATGTTGGGTGGGGGCGACGGGGGACCGACCTTGGGCAGGAGGCATTGTGTCCACCGCAGCATCTGTGCTGGCCCCCAGGGGGGTGGCTCGCATGGCCCAGGGGGACGTCCAGGAGGTGCTGCCCATCTAGGCGCTGGCGGGCTGGGAGCCCCTTGTCCTGGTCAATGCAGAGCTGTCAAAACCGGCCTCTGAGTGATGCTGAGGGGTCAGGCTGTCTCCAGAGAGCACCGGCGATCCCGGCTGTGCTGAGAGGGAGGGCTGAGGGCTGCCTGGACGCCCCTGAGATGAGGCGACTGGTATTTAGGGGATGCGTACTCTCTGGGGCCCGCTGGGGCCTGCAGGGAGAGCTCTCACCGGTCTCAACTCCATGCCTTCTGCCTTGTGCTTCTGGCCCAAGAGGTCGGGGTCACTGACCACCCCGTGTCCACCTAAGGCTTCCCTGGACACACAGCAGGGAGATGGGCAATGAGGGTGGGGGTTGTGGCCCTGCCTGTCACGGTCCCCAGCAGTGCAGATGAATTAGACCATTGAGCCACAGAGCCTGGAGGGCAGATGGGTGTGCTGGTATAAGGAGCCCCGGGCTCTGTGTTACAGGTCATGTGTTCTCACCAGTGGCCTTGCAGGAGGGGAACAGCCCCTTCCCCAGGGCCTCGCTCTGCTCCCCCTGAAGGATGGGGCTGAGGGGACAGCAGGCTCTGGGGGCCTTTCAGACCACATTTGAGTCAAAATTTGACTTCCCCATACTCTGCCTGCTTCCACCTCACCCAACTCTCATCCAGGGGTGACCCTTGTTCTAGCACATGAGGCTGAGGCCAGAGAGGGCAGGGCCTTAGGACACAGCCCAGTCACTGTTCTAATTCTAGAGGCAAGCCCCTTCCATGTCCTGAGCTCTGTAATGCATCTTTTCTTTCATGAGCCTTGCGATCAGGCGATGTTTATTCAGTGGTTACCACATCCAGGCATGCTGCCAGGAGGAGGGGAGTCGTGGGTGAAGCTGATAGGATTCCTGCTGGACTCACAGAGCCTGGGTTAATGACACATTACCCATGTTTAGATAGGAGGTAATTCTGCTCCGGTTTCGACAAGTTGTAGGAAAGGAGGAAAACATGCTCATAGCAGGTGAGCAGCGTACACCTGTCATGGGAGTGAGGGGTCCTTCTGGGGGATGGAGAGACCAAGACGTGAACAGTGAGTGTGGCACGCAGAGTGTCCTCCACCAGAAACAGTGTGGGCTGTTCTCAGACCTGAGAGTGAGCCAAAGGAAGCTGGGACCTTGTCATTCAGGGGACTTGTGCACCGTGAAGATTTATTGGATGCTATGTTTAAGAAAATGGAAAATCCGGCCCGGCACGGTGGTTTGCACCTGTAATCCCAGCACTTTGGGAGGCGGAGGTGGGTGGATTATGAGGTCAGGAGTTCGAGACCAGCCTGGCCAACATGGTGAAACCCCGTCTCTACTAAAGACACAAAAAATCAGCCAGGTGTGGTGGTGGACGCCTGTAATCCCAGCTACTCGGGAGGCTGAGGCAGGAGAATCACTTGAACCCGGGAGGTGGAGGTTGCAGTGAGCCGAGATTGCGCCACAGCACTCCAGCCTAGGTGACAGAGTGAGACTCCATCTCAAAAAAAAAAAAAAAAAAACCGGGGAATCTTTAGAAAGCACAGTGGAAACAGATGTCTGTTTTTACAAGCCCATCACTGCACAGAATGCAATATGGGAGGGTTTCACTAATGGTTAACCATAACCACACTCCAGCGTGAGCCCAGCCACTAGGCAATGTGCTGATAAGGATTCTAAGTGGTTTATGTGGACTCCTCATGACCTATGACACACATACGTTTACAGTGGAGTGGAACGAGGCAGGAGGGCTTCTCTTTGTCATAGTCTACCAGCTCTGCAGAGGTGTCAGCTACATCCGGATTGGCTCAGGGAGCGGCCGTCAGAAGACTTACACGTGTTTAATAACTGAGGTTGTGTGTGTGTGGCAGGGGGTGGGTAACTGTGATGAGTTTGGTGTGGCAGAGGGGGAGCCATAGCCTGTGAAGCTGGAAAGTGTATCAGGTTTGGTCATCAACAGGCTTGAACATGAAGTACAGGAACGTGCATCTTATTTTTGGAAGATGGAGCCCCGTTGGGGGAATTTGAGCAGTGGAGGGTCACAGCCAGGTAAGATGGTCAGAAGAGGCCTCGGAAGTGATGAGAGGGATGGACTGGAGTAGGGATGGGAGCCAGTAGGGGGCCAGGAGGGAGGTTGGTGCAGTGCACAGACAGGGCGTCCTCGGTCCCCAGCTGAGCTTAGACTGTGGGGATGGACCAGCGGACACGGGTGGAGCCGGGTGAGGAGGGATGTGGGCAGAGAGGTTTGGATTTGTTCACTGTGTGTGAAGCAGAAGAGTGTGAGGAGCTTTTCCACTCTCTGCCTTGGTTGATGGGAGGAACCAGTGGGGCTGCCGCAGGACAGACGACCCGCGTGGGAGAAGGAGGCTCGGGGAGATGTTTCTAAGACTTAACTTGCTCACAGAGGGAAGCACAAGCTTCCTTCGAGCCTGGGCTTTGTTTTCCCAAACAGGTCCCTTCACTGACTTTCTTTTTTGAGACGGAGTCTCGCTCTGTCGCCCAGGCTGGAGTGCAGTGGCGCGATCTCGGCTCACTGCAAGCTCCGCCTCCCGGGTTCACGCCATTCTCCTGCCTCAGCCTCCCGAGTAGCTGGGACTACAGGCGCCCGCCACCACGCCCGGCTAATCTTTTGTATTTTTAGTAGAGACGGGGTTTCACCGTGCTAGCCAGGATGGTCTCGATCTCCTGACCTCGTGATCCACCCGCCTCGGCCTCCCAAAGTGCTGGGATTACAGGCGTGAGCCATCGCGCCCAGCCAACTTTCCTGTTAATGAGTAGCACTCTTTTTTTCTTTCTTTTCTTTCCCCCTTTTTTTTTTTTTTTAGACATGGTCTTGCTCTGTTTCCCAGGCTGGAGTGCAGTGGCGTGACCCCAGCTCACTACAACCTCCACCTCCTGGGTTCAGGTGATTGTCCTGCTTCAGCCTCCCAAGTAGCTGGATTACAGGCACGTGCAACCACGCCTGGCTAATTTTTGTATTTTTAGTAGAGACAGAGTTTCACCATGTTGGCCAGGCTATTCTCGAACTCCTGACCTTAAATCATCCTCTTGCCTTGGCCCCCCAAAGTGTTAGGATTACAGGCATGAGCCATCATGCTCGGCCTCTTTTTTCTTTTTCTTTTTTTTTTTTTTTGTTTTTGAGACAGAGTCTTGCTCTGTCACCCAGGCTGGAGTGCAGTGGCGTGATCTCAGCTCACTGCAGCCTCCACCTCCCAGGTGCCAGCGATTCTCCTGCCTCAATCTCCCAGTTAGCTGGGATTACAGATGCGCGCCACCATATCCAGCTAAATTTTGTATTTTTTAGTAAAGACAGAGTTTTACCATGTTGGCCAGGCTGGTCTTGAACTCCTGACCTCAGGTGATCCGCCCGCTTCAGCCTCCCAAAGTGTTGGGATTACGGGCATGAGCCACCATGCTCGGCCTCTTTTTTCTTTGCTTAAAAGATGAGGCCTGTTGCCCAGGCTGGAGTGCAGTGGCACTATCATAGCTCACTGCAGCCTTGACATCGTGGCTCAGGTGATCCTCCCGCCTCAGGCTCCCGAGTGGCTGGGACTACAGACGTGCACCTCCACAGCCACTACTTATTTTTGTAGCGATGTCTATCAGCTGGTGAATAGAGAAAGTGTGGTATATCCTTACAACAAAATATTATTCAACCGTAGAAAGGAATGAAGTACTCATACATGCTACATGTGTGAACCTTGATAATATACTAGATAAAAGCAGTCAGGAAAAAAAGGTCACATATGACGTTATTTCATTTATAAGAAGTATCCAGCCTGGGTGTGGTGGCTCATTGCCTGTAATCCAGCACTTTGGGAGGCCAAGGCAGGTGGATTGCCTGAGTTTAGGAGTTTGAGACCAGCCTGGGCAACATGGTGAAATACCATCTCTACCAAAAATACAAAAAATTCACCCGGCATGGTGGCATGTGCCTGTGATCCCAGCTACTTGGGAGGCTCAGGTGGCAGGATCGCTTGAGCCTGGGAGGCAGAGGTTACAGTGAGCCGAGATCACACCACTGCACTCCAACCTGGGTGACAGAGTGAGTCCCTGTCTCAAAAAAAAAAAAAAAAGGTATTCAAAGAAGGCCAATCGATAGAGGCAGAAAGTAGGTTAATTGTTGCATGGGATTAGGTGGGAGTGATTGCTTGATGTAAACTCGGTTTCCTTCTCGGTATGATAAAAATGTTTCGGAATGAGATAGAGGTGATGCTTACACCATATTGTGAATTTACTAAATGCCACAAAATAGAGTTGTATCTCAATAAAAATATATTTGTTGGGCCGGGTGCGGTGGCTCACGCCTATAATCCCAGCACTTTGGGAGGCAGGCAGATCAAGAGGTCAGGAGTTCAAGACCAGCCTGGCAAAACCCTGTCTCTACTAAAAATATAAAACTTAGCCAGGCGTGGTGGCATGTGTCTGTAATCCCAGCTACTCGGGAGGCTGAGGTAGAATGGAGCGAGACTCCGTCTCAAAAAAAAATATATATATATGTAAATATATATATGTTGGGCATAGTGGTGCACACATGTAGTCCCAGCTACTTGGGAGGCTGAGGCAGGAGAACCACTTGAACCTGGGAAGCGGAGGTTGCAGTGAGCCGAGACTGCACCATTGCACTCCTGCCTGGGCAAAAAGAGTGAAACTCCATCTCGAAAAAAAAAAAAACCACACACACACACGTAGATAAAATCAAATATTCTGTATTCCATAAATATGTACAATTATTATTTTTCAATTAAAAACTCTTAAGCTGGGCACAGTGGCTCATGCCTGTAATCCCAACACTTTGGGAGGCGGAGATGGGAGGCTCTTGAGCCCACAAGTTTGAGGCCAGTTTGGGCAACATCGTGAGATCCCATTGCTACAAAAAAATTTAAAATATATTTTTAAAAAACTCTAATACAGTAGTCCCCCTTTATCTGTAATTTTCTTTCTGTGTTTTCAGTTACCTGGTGGTCAACCATGGTCCAAAAATATTAAATAGAAAAGTTAAGGAATCATAAGTTTTTTTTTTTTTTTTTTATTGATCATTCTTGGGTGTTTCTCGCAGAGGGGGATTTGGCAGGGTCATAGGACAACGGTGGAGGGAAGGTCAGCAGATAAACAAGTGAACAAAGGTCTCTGGTTTTCCTAGGCAGAGGACCCTGCAGCCTTCCGCAGTGTTTGTGTCACTGGGTACTTGAGATTAGGGAGTGGTGATGACTCTTAACGAGCATGCTGCCTTCAAGCATCTGTTCAACAAAGCACATCTTGCACCGCCCTTAATCCATTTAACCCTGAGTGGACACAGCACATGTTTCAGAGAGCACAGGGTTGGGGGTAAGGTCACAGATCAACAGGATCCCAAGGCAGAAGAATTTTTCTTAGTACAGAACAAAATGAAAAGTCTCCCATGTCTACCTCTTTCTACACAGACACCGCAACCATCCGATTTCTCAATCTTTTCCCCACCTTTCCCCGCTTTCTATTCCACAAAACCGCCATTGTCATCATGGCCCGTTCTCAATGAGCTGTTGGGTACACCTCCCAGACGGGGTGGCGGCCGGGCAGAGGGGCTCCTCACTTCCCAGTAGGGGCGGCCGGGCAGAGGCGCCCCTCACCTCCCGGATGGGGCGGCTGGCCTGGCGGGGGGCTGACCCCCCCACCTCCCTCCCGGACGGGGCGGCTGGCCGGGCGAGGGGGGAATCATAAGTTTTTAACAAATCAAAATATTTCTAAAAACCTAGAGTAGGCAGGAAAGGGGAAACAACACACAGCAGAGGAGACAAACAAAAAGGCACACCTGAACACAGTCATGCACCGCATAACGATGTTTCGCTCCACTACACATTTCATATGTGATGGTATAGCCTATGTATGTAGTAGGTTATACCACGTAGGTTTGTGTAAGTAGACTCTATGATGTTCACACGACGGTGAATTTTTTTTTTTCTTTTTTTTGAGATGGAGTCTCATTCTGTCTCCCAGGCTGGAGTGAAATGGCACGATTTTGGCTCACTGCAACCTCCGCCTCCCAGGTTCAAGCGATTCTCCTGCCTCAGCTTCCCAAGTAGCTGGGATTACAGGCATGCACCACGATGCCCGGCTAATTTTTGTATTTTTAGTAGAGACAGGGTTTCACCATGTTGAGCAGGCTGGTCTCGAATTCCCGACCTCTGGTGATCCACCCATCTTGGCCTCCCAAAGTTCTGGGATTACAGGCATGAGCCACCACGCCTGGCCAAAATTTTTTAATGATGGCTTTCTCAGAACATATCCCTGTCATTAAGTGACATACGGTTGTAATGTCATCAGTGATTACATTAAATATAAGTGATCAAAAAGAGATTACAAGATTGGAATTTTTTTTTTTTGAGACAGAGTCTTGCTCTGTTGCCCAGGCTGTAGTGCAGTGGTGTGATCTCGGTTCACTGCAACCACTGCCTCCTGGGTTCAAGCAGTTCTCTGCCTCAGCCTCCCTAGTAGCTGGGATTACAGGTGCCTGCCACCACACCTGGCCAGTTTTTGTATTTTTAGTAGAGATGGGGTTTCACCATCTTGGCCAGGCTAGTCTTGAACTCCTGACCTTGTGATCCACCCGCCTTGGCCTCCCAAAGTGCTGGGATTACAGGCATGAACCCCCGCGCCTGGCCTGTTGTTTATATTTTATCACATTAAAAAAGCAGAAGGATGAAAAATGTATTATGCAAACACTAATCAACAGATAATTTCACTGGCTTGTTAGTTGTTTTGTTTTTTTGAGACAGGGTCTCGTCCAGGCTGAAGTGCTGTGGTGCGATCTCGGCTCATTGCAGCCTCGACCTCCTGTACCCAAGTGATCCTCCCACCTCAGCCTCTCAAGTAGCTGGGACTACAGGTGTGTGCCACCACGCCGGACTGGTTTTATTTTTTGTAGAGATGGGGCCTCACAATGCTGATCTGACTGACTCGAACTCCTGAGCTCAAGCTATCCTCCCCACTTGCCCTCCCAAAGTATTGGGATTACAGGTGTGAGCCACTGCACCTGGTTATGCTTCTTTTTTATTTTTTTTCTTTCTTTTTTTTTTTTTTTCGAGACGGAATCTCACTCTGTCGCCCAGGCTGGAGTGCAGTGGTGCGATCTCAGCTCACTGCAAGCTCTGCCTCCCGGGCTCATGCCATTCTCCTGCCTCAGCCTCCTGAGTAGCTGGGACTATAGGCACTCGCCACCACGCCCGGCTAATTTTTTTGTATTTTTAGTAGAGACGGGGTTTCACCGTGTTAGCCAGGATGGTCTCGATCTCCTGACCTCATGATCCGCCCGCATCAGCCTCCCAAAGTGCTGAGATTATAGGCGTGAGCCACCGCGCCCGGCCTATTTATGCTTCTTAATTTTCCCATGTCATAAGTTCGATGTATAATATTTACATTATCATTCAGTTTAAAACATTCACTGTTTTTTTTTTTAGAGACAAGGTCTCGCTCTGTCACACAGGCTGGAGTGCAGTGGCACAGTCATAGCTCACTGCAGCCTCAGCAGCCTTAACTTCTTGTGTTCAAGGAATCCTCCCCACTCAGCCTCCTGAGTACCACACCCGGCCTTTACGTCTGTTTTTGTTTTTTGTTTTTTTGTTATTAACTCATTGATTGTTGAGAAGTCTGTTGCTTTATTTCCAAAATGGGACGATATTAGTCATCTTTGAGTCAGGTGAGTCCCACAAGTTCCCAGCGTCTCCTCATGGTCTGTGTTAGGGGTCCAGGCTGACTGGGGTTCACTGGTGTCCACTGGGGGCAGCTCCCGTGCCTTCAGCAGTCCTGAGTCTCCTTCTGCTGAGTGTGGGGTCTGCGTACCCCCCGGGCTAGTGGATGGCCAGAGTGGCGTAGATGCTGGGCTCAGCTGGAGGTTCCCCTTCCTGGGATGGAGGAGGCTCAGTTGCCTTCCGTCTAAGGGTCAAGCTGTGCAGCTGGGCGTAGGTCACATCCTGGGAGGCTTCAGATGCAGCAGCCTGCAGCGGGGGAGAGTGAGAGGTAAGGAACGTGGTGGGGGTGGGGGAGGCCTGGGGGCCTGGAGAGGAAAGGACTCACCTCAGTGTCCATCTGCCTGTCCTCTTCCACCTGTCTGTCCTTTGTGTCCAGGAATTCCCCAGACAGTGAGGAGGGAGGAGAGGCCATTTCTCTCCTAGGACTGGAGTGTTTCACCGGGGCATACGTCACTGCCTGGGGGTCTTCATCGTGTGGGCTCTGCTGGAGAGAGACAGTGGTGGGGGGTGTCCTTGAGTCCCCCTGACCTCCTGGAGTCAATTTTCCTCACTGTTCCCGGGGTGATCCGATTACATCCCTTTCCTGATGGAATCTCAGGGACGCCCTAAGGCCGTGGAGGGTCTGGCCGCTCCCTCCCTGTGGTTCTGGCCTCTGCTCCTCACTCTGACCTTGCCCATTTGGCTGCAGCCTCACAGGCCTTCCTGCAAGAGCTCGCTGCTGCCTGGGGGCCTTTGCACGGCTGTTTCCTCTGCCTGCAGGGGCTCGTCTATCAGAGGATCATGTGCCCCACTCTGTCCAGGCTTCTCAGATGACAGCTGAGCAGACAGCCCTCCCCTTCCATTCAGACTGGCCCCACTGCCCCACACTCTCTGCCCTTTCCCTGGTGTATGTTCCTTACAGCACGTTGCACTCCTGGACACGATGCATTTATTTGCATTTTGTCTCCCACCATGAGGTGAGCTCAGGAGGCGGGGGCGGCTTTGCTCCCTGCTGTGTCTGCAGCTCCCATGGGGAGCCCCATCCACAGTGAGCTCCCTGGGAACACTCGCTGGATGAATGAATGAAGAGGAGCCCAGGGGACGGAGGTGGTTCATTTATTCGTCATCCTCCTGAGGCCTGGGGAGAGCTCTAACAACCAGACGGCCAAACAGAGGATGAGGAGCAGGAAGGGGACCCGGGAGGAGGCCCACGAGGTCCCAGGACAGCAGAAGAGAGTGAGGTCACAGCAGGCGGGAGGCAGCATGCTGGACAAGGAGGGGTCCACCGTGACGATGCTGAGAGCCGGGGGAAGGAGGACAGAGAAGTCCTGCAGGATTAGATCTGGCACCAGGAGGCCTTTGGTGCCTGGGACGGGGCGGGATCTCACCTGACTGTCCAGCTCCACCCTGTCCTCAGACTGTGTGTCCTTCACGGCAGCATCTGCTGGGGCAGAGCAAGGGGTTCGTCTCCTGGTTCTCTGAGACCTCTCAGTCCTGCTGGCCCCCTGCCCTGCTCCCAGATGGGGCCACCGAATGCAGGGAGGTCCCACAGTGTGGGGCAAGACCATCTTCCACGGAGCCCCAGACCCTTCCCAGCCCCTCCCTGTTGCTACTGAAATTTTGGGACTCCTGTCTCTCCAGCACCCCCATTTGTCCCCTCTCTTCCTCTTACAGAGGTTTTCTTCCTGGACGTCAGCAGCTGGGCTGGACCTGGAGGAGGACATGGGAGTGTGAGGGGCAGTGTATGGGCTGTGGTGGGTGGGAGTCTGTGGTCTTTGGGGCAGAATTACCTCCTCAGCAGGCCCCTGTCCTTGGGCTCTGTCTCCGCAGCCCCTGCAGGACGCTGGAAATCAGTCTTTCTCTGGTCTGGGTGAAGATGGACAGAGTCTCAGCCCTGGGAACATTAGAACTCCCATTCTACACATGCAACTTGAGGGAAAGAAGGAAAACTAAAAATATTCCTGCATGGATGTTCCAAATATTTTATGAGATAGAAAAAAACTCCCATGAATACTGAAGTTTGTAAATGCGTATTGAAATTACGTGCCCCTGGAACCGGTTTTCTAAACTGACACCCCTGTGTGTTTGGGTTCCCTCTGGCTGGTGCCCTGAGCCCACCCTCGGTCGACCCATGGGTCCCCCGCTTCCCTACTCACCAGATGTCCTGTGTTTGCTGTGACGCTGACGTCGGAGGAGGAGGAAGAGGAGGAGGAAGAGCAGCAGGACGAAGGCCACCGAGACCCCAATCAAAACCTCCAGGTATCTTCCCAGACCTTGACATGAGGACGTCAGGAGTGGGAATGATGTCATTGATGTGAGCACCTACTGTGTGCAGGCGCGAGCCAGGTCTTTCCTTCGTGACCTCCAACCCTCACAAGCAGTCGTGCAACATGGAATTGCCACCCGTACAACCCATTTCACAGATGCACAAACTGAGGCTCAGAGCAGGGAGTCGCCTGCCCCAGGCCTCCAGCGAGGAAGCGGCAGAGCTGGGAAGGGAGCCCGGGAGTCTGACCTGCAGCCCTTGTTCCTGCACCAGAGCCGAGACCCGGAGCTGCAGGGAAAGAGCCTGACCGTCCTGAACCACGGCCCTGCTCCCCTCCCCTGCCCCAGGTCACCGTCACTGCTGCAGGTGGGACGGGACAGGCCCCTGTGGAATCGGGTCTGGGAGGTTCCCTGGGAGGCCTCCTCTCCCAGGAGGTCACAGCTGGGGGTCAGAGCTGAAAGGAACTTTCCCACCCACAGGCCTCTCTCCTTTACACTTGGAGAAACTGAGGCCCAGGCAGGGGAGGGGCCTGTCCACATCACCACCTCCAGAGGAGCCTGAACCTAGGACAGAACCCACCCCTGCCTCCCCTGGACCCCGCCCATCTCCCACTCAGAGCCCCTCACTCACGATTCTGAGGGCCTGACCCTGGGGGGTTAAGGGGCTGGTCCTCAGGACCTCCTGGGTCAGGACAGGGAGGTGAAGGCTGGGGCTGTCTTGCCCCCCACATCAGCCCGGCTCCTCCTCCTGGCTGGGCCCCAACATCTCCCTCTGCCTCGACCCCCCACTCTTCACCAGCCCAGCCTCAGAGCCCCTGGGACACAAGCCCGTCCTTGAGGGGAGGGGAGTGGGATCCTTTGGGAGACTCAGACTGCCCTGGGGGAGGCGGCGCTCCCCACGAGGCCTCAGTGACTCACCAGGTGTGGAGGGCGGCCCTGTGGGTGGGAGGCTGGAGCCTCCAGAGTGTCCTGGAAGGAGCACGGGAGGCGGGTGAGGGGCGGGGGCCGTCCATGGAGTGCACCCTTCCACTCCCACTCTCCTGCTTCCGCCCAGTGGATTCCCTGGAACCATCTCTCTGCCCACCTGGTGCCTTCTGCATGCCAGGCAGGGGAGAACGGGTGGCCACGCCTAGGAGAACCCCTGTTGGCCTCCTCCCCTCTGAGGGCTGGGTGCCCTCTGGCTAAGCCTCCCTCACAGCCTCCCTCGGTCCATCCCAGCCGAGAGCTCTCCTGGGGGCCTGGGCCTGAGCTGAGCCTTTGAGCTCAGAGAGGACGGGGTCAGCGCCCTCACCTGAGACCACGAGCTCCAGGGGCTCACTGGGGTGAGACAGCAGGTGGGGGTTGGAGCTGTATGAGCCGTAGCACCTGTAGGTCCCCGCGTGGGCTGAGGTCACAGGACTCATGGGGAATTC